>NC_000006.12:46423636-46726666 GCF_000001405.40 Homo sapiens
TTGTAATTTAATTATGGGTACCTTATTATCTCATTGTTTTTATTGTGATCTGATTATCACATTTTAAATCCTATTGTCTTAGATAGTTACAATTTTTGCCACATCTTTGATTTCTGAGATTAGACTGAACTTCCTTTTCCAATCACTGAAGGCATAATCTGATGATGCAGTAAGAACTACATTGAGTATACCACATACCACGGTCCAGGTACTTCTCTAAACAGTCTATATTCATTAACTTACTACTTCACATAATTCAATCACATCAGCCCTCTTGTCTTCTCTATTTTACATAGAAGGAAGCTAAAGCACAAAAGGGTTAGGTAACTAACCCAAGAACACGCAGCCAATAAGTGTGGCAAAAGTGTGGTTCTCGAACCTGCGAGCTAACCACTCTGTACCACCATCCCAGCAGCCCTGCCTCTGACTCCACTGAAACCTGGTTCATCCCTTTTACTTACAAGGAAGTTTCATGAGCCCCTGACAATTTCCAATAAAATAACTGCTCGTACTTACATAGACTTATATAGAACTTAGTAAGAGCATGGCACCATTTTAAGGACTATCCAAATATTATCAATTCACTTAATTTCAAAACAATCCCACAAGGTAAGTGGGAATATTATCATCACATTCATGTTACACATGAGAAAACTGAAGCACAGAAAGCTTAAGCAACTAACCAGACATTACACAGCAAGCAAGTAGAACTGGGACTCAAATCCCAGCAGACAAACTCCAATCCTCCCATCTTAATCACTAGGGTGTCCTGCCTCTGAAGCAAAGGGCATAAAACAAGCCAGAAAGTGACCTGCCTTTGTCATGGACTCAGTTTACCAACCCATCCTCCAGTTCTTCTTCTCTGACCCTGACTTCCTTTGCATCAGATTCTGCTTGTCTGCACCTATCCCTAGAATGCACTGTTGTTTTCTTCCAAATGAGTTGACCCCTCTATACCGAACTCCTTAGATCTGTGATATCTGCCACACACCCCTACTTATCTGGCCTCAAGGAGCCAATGGAGCAGAGGCGGCAATGTGTGAGTCCTTAGGCTGCCCCTGACAGACTGTGTGACCTGGGACAAGTTACTTCACTTCCTTAAACAGAATGGAGATAATGTATCTTCCACCCAGGGATTCTGGGAATACTATAGATAATATATATAACAAGGTTAGCACATAGTAAACAGTTAAATATTTCAATGTCTTAGATTTTAATCAATGCTTTCAAATTTAAACAAATGCATATTGGGGGCGTGCTAGATACTGTTATAAGCCCTGGGCATAGAGTGGTGAACAAAGCAGTCAAAAAGCCCTTACCCTCATGGAGCTTTTGTTCTAGCCAGGAACAAATAATTGTATAATACATACCAAGTAATGATCTTGACAGAGAAAATTAGACTCCTCAGGCATGCATGTGGTCCCCTTTCTTCAACAGGCTGGATGTCAACAGCTCTTGCAAGATGATCCTGTCATCCACCAGGAGCGATCTTATTCTAGAGCAGTGGCTCTGAAACTTTGTGGTCTTAGAGATCCATTATGCTTTTAAAAATTATTGAGGACACCAAAGTTCTTTCATTTATGTGGATTATATCAGTGTGTATTTACTGTATTAAAAATTTGAGCAAAGTTTTAAAGCACAGGAATGCACAAAAGCTCATTCCATTAGTCCTCAGAGCAATGACATCACCACACATCATGCAGCCTCTAGAAAACTCCACTGTGCACCTATGTGAGAATATAAGTGAAAAAGGCAAAAACATCCTTGTACCTAAAAAGAGGTAACATTTTACCACTTTTAATATTGTGGTTAACTTCACAGATCCCTGAAAGGATCTTAGTAACCCCCAGGAATTATCAGACTATACTTTGGTAACTGTATTCTAGTGAAGATATATTTAGACTGATGTAAGAATTTTTTTAAAAAAAGATATTTTAATTTATTCTCCTATCTCTGCTGATGTCTTCTTGCTCATTTTCTACAATCAGAAGCTGAAAAAATTAAATTACAGTTTGGAACTACATAAAATGTGAACACCTATGATTAGTTCCTTGAGTTATAATTTATGTGCCTACTTACCTTAAAAAAAACAGCATATATCAAAATCTTAATTCTTGATCTTCAGAAGCTCAGCCATCCTTATGAGATAAAATTAACTTCTCAATTACAATTATACATTAAATATTTCTCAGTGGTTCACTTCGCAATAGCTTTAACTCTGGAAGTTTGTTCAGATAGAGGCTAATTACTTCTTTCTTTCTTTTTTTTTTTTTTTTTTTTGAGACAGAGTCTCACCTTGTCACCCAGGCCGGAGTGCAGTGACACAATCTTGGCTCACTGCAACCTCTGTCTCCCGGGTTCAAGCGATTCTCCTGCCTCAGCCTACTGAGTAGCTAGGACTACAGGTGCCCACCACCATGCCCAGCTAATTTTTGTAGTTTCAGTAAAGACAGGGTTTCACCATGTTGGTCAGGCTGGTCTCAAATTTCTGACCTCAGATGATCCACCCCCCTCAGCTTCCCAAAGTGCTGGGATTACAGGCATGAGCCACCATGCCCAGCTGACTGATTACTTCTTTAAAAGGTGTGTTAACATTTCCTTCCCACAGAAATTTAATTATTCTTTTATTGCTATTTTAAATGAATATTTTCGCAGAATGTTTCTAAACATAGATAAAATGATTTCACAATTGCATTTCATTATGTATAATAGACCTTCTCTAGGTTTTACTTTCAGTGTTCCTGTAATAAAATTATTATTAAAGACACAGGAATTTTTGGATAAATGTTAATTCTTTTCATCATCAAGCAGTTTTTAAAAAGACAAGCAATTTTACCGCTTTTAGTACTAATCACTTTAATTAATCTGCATGGGAAAATAGTAGGCAGCTGAACACTGTATTCCATAGATATTTTTGAATGAGAGGAACAGCTGGCTATGCAAATACATACAGGTAAATGAATGAGCCCTAAATCTTAGAATGAAAAACTAAAATGCCTTCATGATACAAAACAGATCTAGCATACAAGAAGGGGAAATAAAACATAAATTCATGGGTAAAGAAGAAGGTATTTTTTACTGAACATCTACTGTGTAAACAGATCAGGTGTTCAATAAAACTGTGCTGTGAAAAGCCCACTTATACACTTAAAAAGAGTATAACACAGAGAGAAGCATGGAGTGTTTAAGTAACTTGCTCAAGGTCACACAGCTAGCAAGTGGTAGAGATGAGATTTGAACTCTGGCAGACTTTTAGCAAGTAGAGGATAGGGTTTAAGTAGCAAACCTGTATGTGAATCCTTTTACTAACTTATTAAATATGTGACCTCAAGAAAGTTACTTTGCTTCTCTAAATAGAAGGCAGATAACAATGATCCTCCCTCCTAGGGTCATTGGGAATAATATGGAAGAAAGAGTCTTATTAGGAGGGTAAGAGAGGGGTCTATATTATCAGGATAGTTTTCTGCATCTCTGAAATAATTTTAAATGTTTTGAATAACTGGAATTTAGAATGACCCATGTAAAACAAAATTTTAGGAAAATTATATGAATCCTTATAAAAACTATACAGTTAATACCTTAAAAACCACATTATCATCTCTTACTTTGTTCACTTAGTGTGCCATAGGAACTGTTATTTATTCTTCTCAGCAGTCCAGCTTACTGGTTACATGCATGGGCTTTAGAAACAGACCTTTTAGGCCCACATCCCTAGTTGACCTTGGATTAGTTAGTTACTGACCTTCAATTTCCTCATCAGTAAATGGATGTAAGTATTAGTACCTTTCCCATTGCATAGTTATTAAAGTTAAATAAGATTATACATGTAAAATAATTAAAATCATGCCAGGAATATAGTGTTCAGAACTCAACAAATTTAGCAACTATCTTTCATCTAATTGTTTCTCAAGGGCTTGGGGCATAACAAGACTGGGTAAAATGTGTATTGAGTAAATAAATAATGACATACCTATCAGATTAATACACTAATGAACATTCTCATTGCTTTCTGACATCCTGCTCTCTTAACCCGGATTCTGAGTCACATGACCTCGCATGCAATATAGCTGTATTGACATACAACCATCAGAGGGCTTTGCATTTTCAAAAGAAACGAGAGAAACCAACAGATAGACAATTCAAACTTTCAAGCAATCCAAGCGTAAGTTTATGGCAGACATTGTCTGTTGATTCCACATAAGTGATTTCTTTCTTCTCCCTTGATGAGAGCCTTGATTTACTAAGGACCACGTTTCAGCTACAGGATGAATCTGTTATGGCTAAGCTAGGACCACATTTCAGCTACAGGATGAATCTGTTAGGGCTAAGCTAGGACCACAATTCAGCTACAGGATGAATCTGTGAGGGCTAAGCTAGGACCACAATTCAGCTACAGGGTGAATCTGTGAGGGCTAAGCTAGGACCACAATTCAGCTACAGGATGAATCTGTTAGGGCTAAGCTAGGACCACATTTCAGCTACAGGATGAATCTGTTAGGGCTAAGCTAGGCCTGGTTGTCCTATTCCTCTCAGATAGATGCTTGTTTTTCCAGGCTCTTTTGCATCTAAGGGTACCAGCCAATGAGAGGTAAGTGAAGATTCACTGGGGCTAGGGAGTACTCGTTCTGCCAAATATTTTTACTCCCTGATCAAAGAATATAAGAATGATGCCAAAAAAAAAGTCCCTCACCACAGCAGCGTCACCTTGTAGTATTTATTCCCACTGAAAATCACATTATGTATTTTTTTATGTGTTCATCATTTCTCTCCATGAGATGATATGCACCATGAGTAATGGTATAGTTTATGCATTATTCATGGTACTTTGAACAGTAAACATAGTTGGAACTCAATAAATATCTGCTAAATGAATAAATAAATGATCTGACTGGGATTTTCTTTGGAGCAATGGCTTAGAATTTCCAGAGAAGAATCTCCAGTCTCTGACCTGGAAAGTAATCATCATGCTTTGGATATTCAGGGCCCAGGACAGAGGAGCATGGCTAAATTTTCACTATATCTCTGTCTTTCCAACCATGAAGCTCACCTTCCTGTACCTTCTCTTCCCTGTACCTGATGTCCCAGAACTCTCAGAACTTTTGAGGGCTTGTTTTTTTAATATATTCTCCCTCATGGAGGCAATTTAGCTGAAAGCTCCTTCCACTCTGCTAAATTAGTTGCCATTCCTCCATCTGCTTTCTTCTCAAAATGTGTTAAAATCTCTTGACAGGTGATATCTTCTCTCTATTCTCTTCTACCATGGTTTATACCTTGTTATATTTTTACTTTTAGGAATGAGAGTAAATTCATATGGCCAATGTGTCATATCTAAAACAGGAATGTAAATATGTAGAAGGTAAAAGGTAGATGACCTCAGCCTCAGAGATAATATCAGGTAATCAATTAAGCAAGAGCTTATGATATTAATCACATGTATAATTGTTTTAAAAGATAAACCACAGTGTAAGTAGTAGGGGCAAAAGGGGTGATCCAGGAGTCCTTTACAGAAATGCACCTAAAGTATAGAAACCAGAGTCCTTCACAGAAATGCACCTAAAGCATCCCACTTAATATAGGGGAACACAGTATGCTAGATATAAATGAATAGAATTGTATAAACACTTTTACAGGGTGTACTCTGAACTTGCCACTTTAGAGGCAGCTTTGCACAACAGAGGCATTTTAACTCGAAGCCAAAAGATACGGGTTCCAGTCCCACCTATGATAGATCTATGTGAATATCAGCAAATTACTACAGAACTCTGCATCTTTTACCTTGCACATTTGCTGTAAGGGTCAAATAACTCACAAACTTCTTGGTAGACTGCAGAGTACTCTTCAGTTTTCTTGGTTATTACACTGAAGAAGGAAAATATTATCTTGAGAGTTATCAACGTTTTAATTTCTGAGAGAAATAGGTTCCATATGAAACGTCTCTATCAGTACAAGCAGAATCTGAAGGAATCCCTAAAAGGTATTGTATTCATTTTTTTTCAACAAATTATATGCCAGGCACTGTGCCAGGTGCTAGAGAATGGTCATTAGGGCAGGTACGTTCTTGCCCTTATGGACCCTAGGGTCTAATGTGAAGATGTTAGTTAACAATCACATAAAGAAATGGATCATTCATGCTGAGATAAGCGCTCTGAAGGAAAGAAGCACAGCACTCTAAAAGTGTATCCCAGAGGAACTAACGAGGTCTTGCACTGGCACAGGAGGGATGCGGCTGGCAGTGTATATGGCAGATAAATCAGCACATGCAAAGACCCTGGGAATATGACAACAGTTGTAAACTCAAAGAAGGAGAGAAAGTTAGCATGGCTGGAGACAGAAGACTCAGGAGTGAAGGAAAAGCCTTGAGGTAGGTTGACCTTGAAGGCCAGGCTAAGAATACTGACCTTCATCCTGAAAGGAATGGGAAGCTTTGGGTGGGTTTTACACATACCATATTTGAGCTTTGAAACCAAAAAACTAAAGCACTTCAAGCTTCAAAGTGAAATGCATTGAAGAACAGCAAGAGAGGACCAGTCGCAGACCAAGACAGAGACAACTGCAATAGTCGAGATGAGAGATGCCTGAAGCTTGGAGCAGGGATAAAAGTGAGCTGTCAAATAGGAGAGATATTTAGGACGTAACATCATCAGGATTAGCTACAGAATGATTGGGTGAGGGAGAAGGAGAGCTTCTGAGTGGAAAAACTGGATGTAGGGTGGTTTGGTTCAGGAATACAAGAAATAATGGAAGGAGACCTGGTTAGCAGATGGCTTTCTATATCATGAGACATCAAGAGGAGACATCAGTTACCTACCTCAGAGAGGCTGCTTGGATCAGGGGTAGAATGTTCATAGTTGTTAGTGTACAGGTGGCAATTAAAGGTTTGGATGAGATTGCTTAGGAGGAGAATGAAGAGGGAAATAAGAGGAATATATGAGTGAAAATGCACTCACTTTTATAATTTAATTCAATCCTCCTAGTCCTCCCAATTTTAAGATTTGCCTTCTCATCGGGAATGTGGATTTTCCATAGGTGTGATTTCACTTTTATACATTCTCACTGAGAAATAAAAGATTGGTTTCTTCAAAGTTATGTACAATAGCAAATTGGTTTCTTCAAAGGTATGTACAATAGCAGATTCCCAGCACATGTGTATCAAGAATACAAAATAGGAAACAACAGACAGGCAACTAAGAGAGGCTATTAGCTGTAGGTTCTAAGAGTTATTAAAAATTGAGAGATGAGGAATAAGAAAAAAATGATTTTCCCTGAAACAGCTTTTAAAATACTTTTGCGTAGAGAACCCCAGATGCCATCAATCAGGAAAATGATCTCTGGCAGAGAAGAATATGGTTGATGTAAATAATTAATGAATGAAGACAGAAGCAGAATATGGAAGCAGGAGGTGCTCTTGGAGGAACTTTCTGCTGGAAAGTTCAAGCAACAGCTAAACGATTTCTTCCTCGTTGATTATCTTCCCAGCATTGTGTGTGCATGCATGTGTGTGTCTGTGTGTGTGTGTGTTTCATTTTCCTGGTTGAATTTAATATATCATGGAAGATTTGTATTTTTAAAAAAAAAAACTATTTTTTGAGACAAGGTCTTGGCTCTGCTGCTGAGGCTGGAGTGCAGTGGCACAATCACGGCTCACTGCAGCCTCCACCTTCTGGGCTCAAGCAATCCTCCCACCTCGGCCTCCTAAAGTGCTGGGATTACAGGTGTGAGCCACATGCCTGGCCCCAACTTGCTTTTAAATGCTAATGAAAACCTCTAGAGAAAAAAATAACATGGCAAGGTCATTATCTAACACATAGTCCTCAATAAATTCATTCAGGGAAAAACAATAGAAGTCCGCTCCTTGTTTTGGTCAGCACTCAACAACGATGAATACTAGAGGTGATTCTAATGCTTCCATGGCACACACAGGCATCTGAACGACTCAAATATTTGTTCCTAGAGATGCTCCAAGTGACCTATGTGACACTAAAAATTGTTCTCTAACTCCACAGGAAGTGCACACATAAAAGTCCTCACATAAATAAAACAACAAAACATTTATTGGCTAGCTTCCTTTAACTTTAACCCAACATTTATTCAAAAGTTAAAGTTAGAAAGAAAAAAATCATGCTCTAGAGTGTCCATTGGTTTATGAAGCCCAGTATATTATCTGACGATTAACAATCTGATTAGGGATTTCTCTTTTCCCAGTATCAGAATAATTTCATTTCATTTCAAATTCAAATAGGGAGAAAAGGCCCTGATATGTATTGACTTTGTATTGGAAACTACATCCGTATGTTTATATGTCAAAAGCATGACAATTCCATTCAAAATTGGATATATTGAAGATCAAATATGGAGACAAAAATGTTGTGACTAAGATAGAAGGCTTACAATAAATTATCTTCATTACTTTGTTACCCTATTTTCCTACTAATGAATTACACAATGTTCTTTAAGATGATTTATAAGTTGTAGTTACAAACTTTAACTGCACTTAGTATCAGCTTATAAAGGTTTAATTTACCATAATAACTATTTTGTGTAAGCTTTAGTGTTTTGGGGGTTTTTTGTTTTGTTTTGTTTTGTTTTGTTTTCTTGAGATGGAGTTTTTCTCTTGCTGCCCAGGCTGGTGTGCAATAGTGCAATCTCGGCTCACCACAACCTCTGCCTCCCTGGTTCAAGCAATTCTCTTGCCTCAGCCTCCCGGGTAGCTGGGATTACAGGCATGTGCCACCATGCCTGGCTAACTTTGTATTTTTAGTAGAGATGGAGTTTCTCCATGTTGGCCAGGCTGGTCTCGAACTCCTGATCTCAGGTGATTTGCTGGCCTCGGCTTCCCAAAGCACTGTGATTACAGGTGTGAGCCACCACACCCGGCCTATCTTTAGCTTTATATATAAATATATAAATAAATAATTTGGTGTGCTTCATCAAAAGTCATCAATATCTTTAGAAGCAATGCTGTTTCTAAACATGAAACATGAAAATCACCAGTTACCAGCAGACTTGGCCAACGTGTTCACTGACTGTCAAATTGCATCATAATTAGATAATTAATACATGCCGAAGATATTAGCAACTCAAAAATCCCTATTTGTGATGATAAGCAACTTAGCTGAGGGAGGCAGCTTATCTGATTTTGAGGTTTCACAATTTAATAATAAGAAGGTGGGATATATGTGACCTCGTGGCACAATGGTAGTACATCTGACTCCAGAAAGTGGGGTATATGCCACTTTGTAATAGTCAAGACACATATTCACTATAAACCTGAAAACATAAGAATGTTTTTGGAAACATTTTTAACAAAATCATTCCTGAATCTTTAAGTACATTATTATTTTACTTTTTTTGGAAGAGGAGGAGCCTTCCCTTGGCTCACCAATTAAAAACTTATGAGCATCTCTGCATGGCTTTGGGTGAATAACTTTTTTACCTCTATGTGTCATAAGAAATTATGTTAACAACAATAATAATCAGGAATATAATATCAAATTTTAGTGATCCTTTTTAGAATGCTGAAAATCAGGCAGTAGGGAGTAAACTGTAGAAGAGAAAAGATGTTAGTCTACATATGGTCCTCAGATCGGCCTATACTCCCAAATTCAGAGAAACTGCCATATACAGTATAGTATAACCAGTGGTATGCTGGTTAGCAGCTCTCAGCAGGTGTTAGACAGAATAATACAATTCACCCTCACTCCTACCCGAGTCCCACCAAGGATATCCATGCCCTAAACCCTGAAACCTGTGAATACATTACTTTACAAGGCAAAAGAAACACTGCAGATGCGATTACATTAAGGACTTTAAAATGAGAAGATTATTCTGGATTATCCAGGTGTAACACAAAGCTACAAGAGGGAGGCAAGAGGATCAGACTCAGAGAAGGAGGTGTGTTATTGGAAGCAGAAGTCAAAGAGATGGGTAGTGAAATATTAAGATTTACAGTGTTGGCTTTGAAGTTGGAGGAAGGGGCTACAAGTCAAGGAATGCAGGCAACCTCTAGAAGCTGGAAAGACAAGGAAATGGATTCTTCTCAAGAGCCTCCAGAAGGAATACATGACTGCTGACACCTAGATTTTAGGACTTCCGACCTCCAGAACTCTAAGATAATACATTTGCATTGCTTTAAAACACTAAGCTTGTGGTAAATTGTTAGGAATTTAATTTAAATTAGTTAAATAGGAAACTAATACTCTAGGAAAACAAACAAGCCTGATTTATAGTTTGTTCATTTCCATGTTGTTAGTACTCCCATGGCCAATTTAATCCATGTTGTTAAATGCTGCACACAATTGGTGGAGCGGGTAAGTGCCCACTTCAGCATATTACTGGGTATAACTACAAAATGGCACCAATAACACAGACTGCCTATACAAACCTGGCACAAGACTTTCATGTGATTTGATATGGTAATTAATTTATCATTGGTACTTTAAAATTTACTCCCTCTGACCAATGTGCTGATTGCCCAGTATGCCTGTGTCACCTTTCTTTAGGTTCCATTCACACTATGTGCCTCACAAAGATAGCTGCTTTTCCTAGGATACTGAATATTACCACAGTGATAAAAGTGCTGAGCCTAACCATCTGGGTAACCAATCCAATGGTAACTCCACAAACAAATTATCTCAAAACAAAACTTCTCCTTGGTCTGAATCCCACAATTTCTGGTGTCCTGAGAGTGGGTGCAGTAATGGTGGCAGCTGAGGGAGAGGTGTCTGTGAAGCAAACTCAGAGACAGGTCTCCTGAGGCCCATGCAGAAACACTCTGGGGAGACCTTACATGACAGTTTTTTTTGGAATGAGGAAGGAATATTTGGAGGGCTGCTTATGGGAGCCTCCATGTCACTAAGCACAGACTGCCCCAAAGCAGCTCATAAAGAGAGGACTTGAAGAACTGCAGCCTCCTCATTTAGAATGGAGGAAAGAAAAGAACTCAGAATGAGATGTAGAGAATGGGATTATAACTTTCTTTTCTTCATGCTTCTTCTAGAGACCCACCCCAGGAGATTCTTATCCTAAGATGAGGTCCTAGAACAGATTATTGAGAAATGCCCAGGCAACTCCTCTCATCTGTAGTTTGAAACCATCAACTGGGCCAGTGATTCTCAAGCAAGGTGATTTTGCCCCCCAGGGGACATCTGGCAATGTCTGGGGCCATTTTGGGTATTCATGATGGGGAATGGCATACTGTCAGCCAGTGGGTAGAGGCCAGGGATACTACTAAACATCCTACATGGCACAGGGCAGCCCGCACACAAAGAATTATCAGTCAGAAACGTCAGTAATTCTGAAGTGGAGAAACCCTGAATGAGATTGTGCCATGAGAAGTTGTGCACCTCCCATATTAGTTATATTTCTGGCAACAAAGTCTCTGACAATTAAATATGTCGTTGCGATGCATTATTTATTCATGATGGCCTTCTATATAGATTGGAATATAAATCTTCTCACTTTGTGCCCAGCAATAATTAGTATTATACAAATGACAACCTGTGCCAAAAGAGATTTTTAAAAGGTTACCATGTATGCTATTGGCTATCATTCTGTCTACAGTGATTATATAGGATTCCCTAAAGAATTATTTTTTGAAATAACTCCTTTAATCATATAAAACATTAAGTGTAATAAAGTCATTCATATGAATTCAAATTCTCTTTATAATGATGTTTCTCTTCCAGAGAACTGTCACTTTTCATGTGGCTATTTTGCTATGATGCTTCCTGCACTATTTTCTTCAGAAAGAAATGTGCTTGGATTAAGTGAAGAGTCTTCTAAGTAAAATTCTCAAAGTACTTAATGAATATATTTTAAAAACCATATTCAGATTTTAAAGGGCTCTGTTCTCATTTACCTTCTCTTTCCCATGCAAATGTTAATTCCTTCTAAAGTAATTGGACCTGCTTAAATTGCCAATCACAATTAACGAATACTCAAAATTTGCCATTAGCAAGAATGAAGCACCCGCAGAGGAATGTATCTTCTATTCAGTAGACTTTTGTTTCCTGAAATTAAAATTTGAAATGCCTTTAATTACTCACAAAGAAGGCTTGGTCAACCAATCCAGTTTTCTTTAGGAACTGATGCAACGACAGAATGGAAAGCAAAACAGGAAGGCAAAACTGACTTGTCTTTTCAGAAAACTTCTAAGGATGCTGTACCAACTACAAGTCCAACACTTATCAGGCTTCACATGGAGGCATATGAATGGAATTGCCAAGTGACTGCATCTAGTCTTTGTAACTATACATCAAACATAAAGGAAAATGGAACTTTCTAGTGAGCACTGGAGAAATGAAGACAAAAGACTGTCAATTTATTGGTACAGTAAGGAAATGTGTAGCTGTTCAAGACTCTGTACGCAGGGGAGATAGAAAATGCACTTTCTTCTGGGCTAGTTCTTGTGAATAAACATATGTGCTCAGATTTCAGAAGGTACTCATCTGGCTTACTGCTCCCCCATCTGGATTTAGAAGTTCTTCTGAGGGTAGTGAGACTAGACAATGGCAGTTGACCAGAGTTGCTCTTTGGTGCGTTATGCAGCAACCACAGGCAAGGGAAGCAAGAGTCCCAACAGGTTTCTTTTTCTTGAGATGGAGTTTTGCTCTTGTTGCCCAGCCTAGAGTGCAGTGGCACAATCTCGGCTCACTGCAACCTCCACCTCCTGGGTTCAAGCAATTCTCCTGCCTCAGCCTCCCGAGTAGCTGGGATTACAGGCGCGTGCCAGCATGCCCGGCTAATTTTTTTGTATTTTTAGTAGAGACGGGGTTTCTCCATGTTGGCCAGGCTGGTTTCGAACTCCTGACCTCAGGTGATCCACCTGCCTTGGCCTCCCAAACTGCTGGGATTATCGGCATGAGCCACCGTGCCGGGCCCAGAGTCCCATGAGTTTTAAATGATGCAAGATGCAGATCAGACTGATGGGCAGAAACTATTATTATTCCTAGCCAATAGTTACAGTTAACTAGGATCAAGACATCATTGACTATATCACTTATATCCTTACAGGAAACCTATGAGGTCAATACTGTTACTTGATGCTGTTTTACAGGTGAGGAAATTGATGTTTAGAAAGGTTAAATAAACTGCCTATGGTCGCACAACTAATAAGCAGTGGAATTTGGTTTTGGACTTAGACTGATAGATGCTAAGGCCCTCTCTCTCTCAATCACTCTGCTATATCATTTCCCTAATTAGAGACAGAATGACCCTTGTGGGGATGAGGCTTGAGTTCTTAGATAATAAAAACAGAACCAACCCCTCCAAAGTACCAGTAACTCAAAAGAAAGTTCAGCCTTCCCAGTAGGCACCAATGCCTTCAGTCACATGTAGACACAGATTATGTGACTGTTGTCTGTCATCTCCAGACACTATAACATTAAACAACTGCCTCATTTTTTTCCAAGCAGATGCTTCCATTTATGCTTCAGTTGGAAAAGCATTTGGTTATACTCAGAAGCCATTAGTACTCTTACGGGCTTGAAAGTGCCACGTAAAATAAATTGATCCTATTTGGGTGTATGCCCTGAACAGGCAATAGGAAAACGAGCCTCCACATTGACCCATAATGTTCCATTTCTGGGCTTGCTCAATCCTTTTTAATGCCCTGCCATCAAGTTCCAATACAGTTTACAGTTTAGATGCTTATTTAGTTTAACATGGTATAATAACATGTGTTTTGGCTGCTTTTAGCAGATCCTGCATAAATTCCAAGAGCATCACTCCCACCCCATATCCTAAAATAAGGGATCTATAGTCACTTAATTTATAAAATACAAGGCATGAAAATATGTCTTGAAATGTTTAAAAATTGGGTAAAGTCACTGATTAAGGTGTTCACAAACCAAATGTACATTGAGTGCAGATAATAAGGAAACTTTTATTAGGGAGGACTTCAAACTTTGTTGTTGTTACAGTTGTTGTTTCCAGCTATAAGTACTTTTGACAAAGGGTTGAACAACTTCAAGTGACAGCTCCTGACAAAGTCAATCGTCTCAGGAAAAACCTAGAAAGGCAGAATGTTTACAAGTAAAATTCTAAAAAGTATGCCTTGAGCTTGAAAATTAAGAAGGCATCCTATCCCAACTGCTGAGTGGTGACAGAATCTTTACTGTGGTGACTTTCTGTAGAGTCCAGACACAGGGGCTATTCTTAGAACAACCAAAAAAAGCATGGAGCTGCCTAAAAATAATGATGACTCAACACCTAGAGGCTTCAATGATGTAATGTTGTGAAAGAACACCCTCTCTCCTCACAGGTTGCAGTTTTTAAAATAAGCAAGCTCACAGGTCACCTTCCAAGGAAAGCAAAAATTTCTCACACTAAGGAGAAAATTAGGACACATGGGTCACAAATAAAATGTTTCTTTCCCACCTCACCTGTCACTGTGGCTGGGTTTACTTGGAGAAGCAGCCCTGGCCAGAGTCAAAGGCCATTCTTTCCCTGTCACCCCCACTCATCAGTCATCCTTTCAAAAAAGGCCCTGTGTGACAGGACAACAATGCTGATTACACAAGAGGAGGGCCTGAAAAGTCCTGACAGCCAGCACATTTTATGACATGGGATGGGTCCATGTGGAGACTGTTGTACAGGTACAAGGCGTAGCTTAAAACAAAGAATAAAAACATCTCTCAGAGCTTCTGTGACAGCAGCCATTGAAGCATGGCAGTCATGGCTCTGTGCTATCCCATGGCCATAGGACTCAATAGGGCCACAAGGTGACCAAGAGCATAAGCCAAGGCACAGCTGCCACTGCAGACACCTCACCAAGCACTCAGAATTCAAGTGAGACATGATCCAAGGAGCATGCAGCTTCATCCTATAAGAGTGACACATCATGGAGCTCAAGGTCTCCAAGGACAAGAGTACTGCCAGGTTCACCAAGAAAAGGGTGGGGACACATAGCCATGCCAAGCGGAGGTGAGAGGAGCTGAACAACGTCCTGGTCACCATGAGGAAAGCGGCTACCAGGATACACTGAACTGCCTCCTCGCTCTATACATGATAAAATATAGAAAAAATATTCCAGAGCCTTCACTCTTCCCTCTTAGTGCCCATGCCCTGAGCGCCTATAATATGCTCCTTCTGCCTCCATCTCTCACTTCACCTAACTTGTACTATAATTTTCAGATCTCAGTAAACATTAAGCTTCATGAGGGCTTGCATTTCTTTCATCTTTGTACTCCCAATGCCAAGAGCAATACTTGGGACATGGTAGAGTTTCAATAATTATTAAATAATTGATGGCTGATTGATTGATTGCTGCAGTACTCTTTCGCTTTGTTAGTGTATTTATAAGTCACTGTTCTTCTCTGGGTACTTATATTGTATATCTTAGAATATCTTAGGATACATCTTAGGTATATCTTAGAATATAATATCTTTCAGGGTTATGTTCATTAAAAAGAAGATTCTTAATCAGAAAACAGCCTTTAGGTTTCAAAAGACTCTAGTCCACTGTAGGAGATACTTGGAGACAGGATTTTCCTCACACTACAGAGCCCATTTCTTTGTTCCTAAGGCTTGCCCTGTTCAGCAAGAAACATGGGCCTGAGACTCAAGGCTGGGTGCATTATAAATAAAGCACAATTTAAAAATGTACCTGATGTAATACACTAAATTTTACATGTACAGCTGAGTCTTTTTCAAAAAGGTGAACTTGTTGCAGCAATGCTTTCATTGTGCATTTCTGAAATTCCCAAATATCAGTTCAAAAGCTCCAAAAGGAAGTCATTCCTAGTGTTTTGTAGCTATTTCTTATTATAGTTTATGTGCATGTTGTGTTTAAATAGAAATTATTTTTACCTGGGTTGGTTACCTACATGAGTCACCATAGTTAACTCTAAATGACTTGCTTCCACCAATTCAAATCCACTCTATAAATACATACGCTTTGCACCACTCAAGATATTGCAAAAAATGAGCAATCAGTGAGTGGTGCCTAAAGAGGAATCACTTTGAAAGGGACCACACTTACTTAGATATGTAAACTCAGAGATGTTTCTGGGGGAAAGACAACCCCACTTGAGCTGAAAGCCTGGTTGTCAAGGAGGCTGGGCAAAGGTAGGGCTAGGTAACCAAATGTATACTCACTTTCTCCTCCTCCTTCTAAATTATCATGTCCCTACCCTCCCTCCTCCCATATTTAGAACAAGTCTACATATAAAAAGCATGTGTAATAAAAGCTGATTATCACTGCCACATTTATGACACTGAAGACTCTCATTCCCTGAAAATTTCTAAAGAGGCTAGTTGAAGAGTGAAACGACTTTCCTTTCATGTGCCCCTTGCAAAGTCGTGAACTTAAGCTGCACAATGGTAAGTTTTAAGTGGACTTCTGTTCCAAATTCTACAACTTGACGGAACATAATATCAACAAAAAGTAATCTATTTGAGGGAAAGAATAAAACTCTCAAGCATCAGGCATTGAAACTATAGCATCTTCCCATGAAATAATGTGTCTCTAAGCCTTCAGAGTTCAAAATCAGACTGATTTATGATGAGGACAAACTTGAATACACATATCCTCAAATGCTTTATAAGTGTTCATTTCCTCACAAATGAATATTAGAATAATGATCACATTTAAGAGTAAAACTTAAAGATAGTTTAATTACCCAGTGCTTTTCTAAAACCATGTGGACCTAGATGGCACGTGTTCCTGGAAGATGTTGTTGTCAATTGTGATTGCCAAGTTACATTCTTTTCCTTGGAGATGTTTAAAAACTATTTTTCTAAACCATATGAGTCACGGCAAAAAAAAAAAAAGTTTGTGTGCATGTTATTCTAAAAATATCATATTAACTTAGGTGATTTTTTTCTATTCACAATGGAATTTAAAACATCTGTAAAACACATCCTTAATGATCACTGGACATCTTCTTTACATGTTAAAAGATGATTGTTAAAGTATTCATTAAAATGTGAAGAAAGTTTGAAGAGCTAATTCAGAAAAATATCTTATATTACATATATACATAATTAGGTTAGTATATAAGAAATAAAATATCAGGATCAATAAGAAAAAAGATAGTTGCTATGACTGAATATTAATTTTTAATTTGAGTTTCCTAGAAGCCAGAGAAAAAGAAAAACACATAAATCACATAATCCTCATAGTGAGAAAAAAATACCAGTTCCCCAGAGTAAACAAAGTCTTCCTGGAACTAGTTCTAAAAGAAAAGTATCACGTGAACCTTATATGGGAAACAGTGAACAAGAAGTGTCCTAAAACAATTGAAGAAATAGTTTCCATGTGGAAACTGAGATTAACCTTCCTTAAAACTCAAGGCTATGATATAAAAGCACAACTTTGTTGTTATAATTCTGCAAGGATCTGCTGAAGTCTTCCTTCCAAATTCCATAGACATGTGCTCTCTAGGTCTACATATTTTTAGAAAAACACCTGGTTATTAGAAAACCTCCTTCCTTCCTTGAACCAGAGATAGACAGTCACAGATCTGGGTCGCAGGGAGGGGAATGAAGAAGAATGAGGAAGAGAACATGCTTACTAAGAAGGTCTAGTATTATGCTGCCTCCTCTGTCTACTTCATCTCATTTAATCACATAAGAAGCCAATAAACAAGGTGTTGTTAACACCATTTTATAAAAAAGGGAACTGAGTTTCAAAGATATTTTTAAGTTGGCAAAGATGAAATAACTACTACATTGTCAAGGCAGGATTTGGACCCCAATGCTTCTGAATCCAACACCCACATCATGTCTAGAGAGCTGTATTCAACATCTGGGACACCCGAAGAATGAGGAGGTTGCTCTTCCAACCTCAAGACACTTACAATCACCCAGCTGGAATGTAAAGACTAGACCATCATATGACACAGTGCATTCTATGTATAAATAATACATTATACTAAATAATTTGGAGTTAATAATAGCTAAAAATTTTTTGGGGGGAAAGGTAGGTTTTGAACAAAGTATGAGGCATGATATTTGAATATGGTTGATTAAAAAACCTTAACTATCATGTACCTGATCAGCAAGTCTCTCTCTTAAAACACAGATGAGATTATGGTATTTCTGTTTAAAATAATAGTCAGGCTATATGATAGAACATTCCCAGTAAAATAGAATATTAACAGAAACTGATAAAACTAAAAAAATAAACTACACATGTTCTGTTTCTATATATACCCATTTTGCTAAAAGGGGCAGGGGCATATGGTTGAACACCATAAGCACAAAATTATCAATGAACAGGTAATAAGGAAGTCTATACAGCACACTAATAACCCCACTCTCACAGAGAAAATAGCAGAGGGTATTAATAGAACTGGCACTCAGCCCATCTATATCACACCGATCTCATCCATTGAACTAAATGTCAGGCCTGCTGTGATGGTTACCTTGGAGGAGTTTTAAAGTTCACATCAAAACTCTGACTTTCTCTGGTTATCACCAAGTCAATCAAGAATTTCATGCCCACCAAACTGAGACTAGATTCAAGGAAGTCAAGACAGGCAGGGTGAAGCCCATGACATCCTCAGCTGTTGAGACTAAAGAAAATAATAATGATAAAGCTCATCCTAACCCTGGGTTCTATCTCTGAAACTGCCTCTGAAAAAAGTAATGTTCTTAGGCAACAGAACTCAAGAGTTACCTTTGAATTTACATCTTTTAAAATTTGAAGTACTTTGAAATTTTCATGGCCCCCACGATGGTTGTGTCTTTGTGTACTTCTCAGGGGCTCCTGGCCCAGGAAGTGAGTGGCAGATGAAATCTAGCCTACCCCTCCACCACCACCAAGGCACCCTGTTCAGGGCTGCACGCAGCCCATCAGCCTAGAGGGCAAGACATTATTTTTACAAAGTCACTTCCTTTCCCCAGGCAGTATGCCTTAAGACTGCTTCTGCTCATTTTAATAATTCACAGTCACTGTATAGACTAGAAGCAGCTCTGATGGAAACCATATGAAGTGGGTTCCAAGTACTCATTTTTGCAAATAGGGAGAAAAAAAAGCTCCATGTCCCTATTTAATATCATACCAGAATAAATGGAATATGGCAGTCATCTTTCACCAAGTGTCATCAAGAATATATGTTTACCCACTTTTTGGCACAGAATCCAAATACTCTCAACTCTATCCATCAGGTTTAATTCTCTCTACTGTCTCAATTATTTTCAGGTAGTTAAGTGGGACTTTTAGAGTAGCTTGTCAGGCTCTTGGGCCCCGGGGGTCACTCAGTACTGTGGAGAAGCAAGATACTAAATATGCCTCTGGAATATTTTAGTCACTTTAAGAAAGGTTAAGGTTTCATAAAATGTCCTACAGCAGCGTTCAAATCTGCCCCACACTGGGCCTCTCATCTGGCAGGTGCCCCCAAGTGATTAGCAGTAACTAATTATGGGTCTCAGTCACTGTTCAGGGAAAAAAAACAAAACAAAACAGATTTAACCTCCAGAGTACAATGATATGCCCTTTTAATAATTTAAATATTCCTTAAGACAACAAATATAACTATAAATGTCACTTTTACCTATAAGGAATGAACAACACAAGAAAAACAGTGAAATTCCTAAGTATTCCTTATATATTTTATGTCTAATTTAACTGTTACCTGCTTTAATATTTAAAACTAATATTTGGTGATCCATTTTCCCACCCTCAAGTTCCTATAGTTCACTTCTATTTTATTTTTACAACATATATTCAGTGATACTTAAACCATAGTGAATTATTATCTTCATATTTAGTCTTTGTTACAGATCCCTAGCGTGAATTTTCCAACCAGCCTTAATGTTTTCTAGGTTCTTCCAGAGTTCGAGATTTTAGCTTTTATTGTTACCTTTTAAAAATGTATTTATTACAGTAACATAAACATAATAATATAAATATTTATTTTATTTATTGCTTTTATTGCTACTCTCTTTTTACCCATCTCCCTTTTCTTCTCCTTGATGTAGTTATAAAAATAAATCTGCTTAAGACACTTCTAATTTTTTTATTCACTCGGCTTGCTAAATGAGTCAGTCCCCTCTAAAAATTTTGAACATTACATAAATATAAATTGACGTATAAAGCAGGTTTCTTTATGAACGTCAAATCTTAACTACAAGGGTGATTTGGATTCAGTGCATTTACATTTGGCTTGAGCATTGCTGCTGAATCACCTGAGTTCTTTCTGCCTTACATTCTTCTACATGGAAGTTTGTGCTGATGTACAGCCAACTTTGTTTTTGGAACCTGCTTTCCACAGTACAATTCAGACACAGTGATGCACAGTGGGTAATGAACTGGACTTAAAAGTCAGAAAGCCTCACTCTACTCTTTTTTATCTCTCTAAATAATCAGCTGATTCTGGTAAATTCATCTCTCTGTGTCTTAATTTGGTCACCGTTTAAGAAGAGTTTCATTTCAATATTGATTGAGCACCTACTGTGTGTCAGGCCCTATGCAAGTCACTAGAAATACAAAGAAGACAAATACAAATACTGTCTGCCTTGAAGGGCTTCAGGGTCTAGAGAAGAAAATGTAAATGGAGAAAAGGAAAATATGTCTAGGTAGGTGACACAAAATATTTTACAATTTAAGCTCCCTGAGTCAAGACAAACGTGCACAGAGCAGTAACTATCTGCTTTGTGGGCTAGGAGGCTCTCCTATAGACCCAGAGCAGACCATTAGTGAGGAGCTAGAATGAAGGGCTGTGGGCAGCACAGGCAGGTCAAGGCCAAAGGCTTTAAACTATAGATACTCAAAGAAAGACTCAGTGAGTGTCAGAGTTTGGCTTGGGGAGGGCTACACAGACAGTATCTATACACAATGCTCATCCTAGCTTGAGTATATTCTTTATTTCCAAAAGACATGAGCCCCCCACAGCTCTAGTCATCATGCTGGTACCCATGGACTCAGCATCCAGGCAAGCACCTATGGCCCCAGGCCCCAGGTCAGCCCACAAAGTCCCAGGCTTTAGACCTGCCCCTTTGCCAGGTTGGCAACCCTGGCATCAGTTACCAGGCTAGCACTCAAAGACACAGGTTCTAAGATCCTGCCCAGTGCCAAGCCAGTCCCTACAGCCTCACTTTCCATGCCAGTCCTGCAGCTTCATGCTCCAGCATATTCATGGGCCAGGCCTGCTCCAGCAGACCCAGGGGCTAGGTCCATCCCAGTAGACCTCACTGCTATGCTTCTTCACACAGAGCTAGGCTCCAGGACCACCCCTTGGACCCAGATACCAGGACAGCACCTGTGGCCCCAAGACCCAGGCCTCCCTTCATGTACTTAGCCTCTAGGCCAACAGCTGCATATCCGGCCCCCAGGCTCCACACTTGTCCCAGGTTCCACACTTGTCCTAGCAACAGGGCAGCCCCAGGCCCTTGGCCAGTTCCAGTGTCCCCGGGCTCCAGTTGACACAGGGTCCAGGCCTACCACAGTGCCAGGCCAGTCCCTGTGGACTCAGACTTCAGCAATGTCCCAGTGAACCTAGAAACCAGGTCCATACCAGCACCTAGCCAGCCCCTAGAAAGCCTCTTCAGACTCAGACTCAAAGACCACCCCTGCACCAGGTCAGCCTCTATAAACCCAGGCTTCAGGCCAGCTTCTATAGACTCAGGCTCTAGGCCTGTCCTTATGGACATAGGCTCTAGGTCCACCCCCATAGAACCAATCAATACGTTTATCCCAGTAGATCCAGGCTCCAGGCCTAACCCTATGGACTCAAGCACCAGGCCTGCCCACCTGCTGACCCAGGCACCAGGATAGCCTGCCCAAGGACTCAAGCAGCAAGTTCACCCATGGACCATGCCAGACCAGCTGCTGAGAATCTCTAGATGAGCTGACTAGTAAAGGACTTCCCCAGACAAAGCCAGTCCAAAAAGACAGGAATAAGTCCCTACTTCTTCAAATGCATAGAAACTAATACACAGTCACAAGAATTAGAAACAATCAGGGAAACGTGACAGCATCAAAGGAATAAAATAAAGCACCAATAACCACCCTCAAAATAAAGATTTGTAAGCTGCCTGACAAAGAATTCAAAATAATTGCTTTAAGAAAGCTCACAAAAATATAATAACATACAGAGAAACAATTTAACAAAATTAAAGAACAATAAGCAACCAAAATACGAGATGTTGAATTATTAAAAAAATTCTAGAGCTGAAATATGCAATGAACTAAGTTAAAAATACAATAGAGGGTGTCAACAGCGAACTGGTGAAGCAGAAGAAAGCCTGTGAACTTGAAGACAGAGACAGGTTATTTGAAAATATATAGTCAGACGAAAATATTAAAGTGAATGAAAATGCATAAAGGAAGCTTATGGGATTTATAGGACAGCATCACAAGCAAGTATTCAAATTATTGGAGTTAAAAAGTAAGAGTAGAACAATAAAGGGCCAGGAAATTCAGTTAAAGAAATAATAACAGAAAATTTTTCAAATCTGGAAAAATATACAAATATCCAGGTACAGGAAGGTCTCCACTAAGATTCAGCCCAAACAAGATTACAATAAAATATATTATAATCAAATTGTCAAAAATCAAAGATAAAAAGAGGATCCTAAAAGCAAGAAAAAAAAAAAAAGAAACATATCACACGTAATGAAGTTCCTATAAGGCTAGCAATAGACTTTTTTACATAAACCTTACAGGGCAGAAGAGAGTGGGATAATATATTCAAAGTGATAACCCAGAGGCAGGGTGTGTGTGTGGGTGGGGGTGCTGGGGGGAAACTGCCAACCAAGAATTCTTTACCCAGCAAATCTATCCTTTAGAAATGGAGAGAAAAATACTTCCCCAGACAAACAAAGCTGACAGTTTATCACCACCAGACCTATTTTACAAGAAATGCTAATGGGATTTCTTCAATCTAAATGAAAAGGAGGATGCTAATTAGTAATACAGTCAAGCATAGGAAAGTATAAAATTTGCTGGTAAAAATCAGTACACAGTCAAATTCAGAATACTCTACTACTATAATGGTTCTACGTAAGTCACTTATATCTTTAGTATGAAGTTTCAAAGACTAAATTATAAAAATAATGATAGCTACTATAATTTGTTAAGGGATACATAATATAAAACATGTAAATTGTGACACCAAAAACATAAAATGCGGAAAGAGGAGTAAAATTATTGAGTTTTTTCATGTGATCAAATTGTCAGCATAAAAAAGTCTATTATAACTATAAGATATTTTATGTAAGCCTCATGATACAAAGCAAAACACTTTAGTTGATACACAAACCATAAAAAGTAAGGAATCAAAGCATAAGCCACTATAGAAAATCATCTAATTACAATTTCTCTCACAGTAAGAGAGAAAGAAAGGAACAACAGATCTACAAAGCAACTAAGAACAATTAACAAAATGGTACTAATAAATTCTTACCTATCAATTAATTCTTTGAGTGTAAATGGATTCAATTTTCCAATCAAAAGACAAGAATGACTGAATGGCTGAAAGGGCTTTTTAAAAAAGACCTAACTATACACTGCCTACAATAGACACACTTCACATATATACTAAAAGGGAAGGGAGGGAAAAAGATATTCCATGTAAATGCTAACCAAAGGAGAGCAAGGTAGCTATTTATATTAGATAAAATAGAATTTATATTAAAAAAAGTAGAACAAGACAAAGAAAGCCATTATATAAGTTAAAATGATTAATTTGATAATAACGGTTGTAAATATACATGTGCCCAACATTGGAACATCTAAAAATATAAAGCAAATATTAATAGATCTAGAGAGAGAATAGAGAGAGAGAATAGAGAGAGAGACTGTAACACAATAATGGTAGAGGACTTCCATACTCCACTTTCAGCAAAGGATAGATAATCCAGACAGAATATCAATAAGGAAACATCAGACTTAAACTGCACATTAGACCAAATAAACCTAACAGACATATACAAAAGATTGAATCCAACAGCAGCAGGATATATATACATTCTTTTCAAGTGTACACATAATATTCTCTAGGATAGATCATATTAGAGCACAAAAAGGTCTTAACAAAATTTAAAAGATTAAAATCATATCAAACATCTTTTTAAACTACAGTAGTATATAAAACT
Organism: Homo sapiens; assembly: GCF_000001405.40. NCBI lineage: Eukaryota > Metazoa > Chordata > Mammalia > Primates > Hominidae > Homo > Homo sapiens. Next base: position 46,447,676 of record NC_000006.12, read on the forward strand.
AGAGAACAATAACAGAAAGAATTTCAGAAAATTTACAAATACAAAAAAATTTAACAAGATGTTTCTGAACAACTAATGGGTCAAAGAAGAATTTAAAAATATCTTGAGACAAATGCAAATGGACACACAAAATACTAAAATCTAGTAGCATACTATGAGATACAGCAAAATATATCTAAGAAAAAAACTTATAGCAATACATGCCTACATCAAAAAAGAAGATTTCAAACAAAAAACATAACATCATACCACAAGGAATTAAAAAGAAAAGAACAAACTAAGCCCAAAGTTAGTAGAATGAAGGAAATAATAAAGATCAGAAAATAAATAAATGAAATAGAGACTAGACAAATAGTAGAAATTATCCAAAAACTGAGTTGGCCTTTTACAAAGATAAACAAAATCAACAACCCTTAAGCTAGCTTAATAAAAAAATCTGAGAAGACTCAAATAAAATCAGAAATGAAAGAGGAGACAATAGAACTGATACCACAAGAATACAAAAGATCATAGGAAATTACTATGAACAATTATATGCCAACAGTTGGATAACTTAGAAGAAATGGATAAATTCCTAGAGACGTAAAACCTACGAAGACTGAATCACGAAGAAAAAGAAAACATGAACTGACCAATAACAAGTAAAAAGATCAAATCAGTAATAAAATGTCTCCTACCAAAGAAAAGCCCAGAACACGATGACTTTATTGCTGAATTTTAACAAACATCTAAAGAACTAAAACCAATTATTCTCAAACTTTTTCCAAAAAATTGAAAAAGGAATACTTCCAACTGTATTTTACAAAGTCAGTATTACCCTGATACCAAAGTCAGACAACTACACTACAAGACAAGAAAATTATAGACCAATATCCCTAATGAACACAGATACAAAAATCATCCACAAAATACCTGTAAACCAAATTCAACAGCACATTAAAATGATTGTTCACCACAATCAAGTGAGATTTATCACAGAAAAGCAAGAATAATTCAAGAAATGCAAATCTGTAAATGTGATACACAACATTAACAGAATGAAGGATAAAAACCATATGGTTATCTCAACAGAAACAGAAAAAGCATTTGACAAAATTCAACCCTCTTTCACAATAAAAATTCTCAACAATTTAGTTGTCAAAGGAATGTACTTCAATATAACAAAGGCCATATATAACAAACTCACAGCTGACAGCATACTTAACATTGAAAAGATGGAAGATTTTCCTCTAAGATTAGAAACAAGACAAGGAAGCCACTCTTACCACTTTTATTCAACATAATACTGGAAGTCCTAGCCAGAGCAATTAGGCAAGAGAAAGAAATAAAAGGAATCCAAACTGGAAAGGAAGAAGTTAAATTGTCCTTATCTGCAGATTACGTGATCTTATACATAGAAAACCCTCAACACTCCATCAAACAACTGTTAGAACTAATAAACAAATTCAGTAAAGTTGTAGGATACAAAACCAAAATACAAAAATCAGTAGCATTTCTATATACTAACAAGGAACTATCTGAAAAAGAAATTAAGAAAACCAACCAAATTACAAAAGCTAAGAAAAATCAAATACTTAGAAATAAATTTAACCAAGGAAGTGAAAGACCTGTACACTGAAAACTATGAAACATAATGAAGGAATCTGAAGAAGACACAATAAATGAAAAGATATTCTATCTTCAGAGGCTAGAAGAATTAGTATTAATATTAAATATTAACATTTAATATTATTAAAATGTTCATACTACAGAAAGTAATCTATAGATTCAGTGCAATCTCTAACAAAATTCCAATAACATTTTTTCACAGAAATAGAAAAAAAAAATCCTGAAATTTATATGGAACCACAAAGGACTCTGAATAGCCAAAACAATCTTGAGTAAAAAGAAAAAAGCTGACTACAAAGCTATAGTAATCAAAACAGCATGGTACTAACATAAAAACAGGCATGTGGACCAATGGAACAGAATAGAAAGCCCAGAAATAAATCCATGGATTTACAGTCAATTGATTTTCCACAAAGGTGCCAAGAACACACAACGAAGAAAAAACAGTTTCTTTAATAATAATAATGTTGGAACAACTGGATATCCACATTCAGAAGAATGAAATCAGAACTTTAGCTTATGACATATACAAAAATAAATTCAAAATGAAATAGACTTACATAAGACTTAAAACTAAAACTACTAGAAGAAAATGTATGAAAAGAATTGTTGACTTTGGTCTGGGTAATGACTTTTTGGATATGACCCCAAAAGCACAGGCAACAAAAGCAAAAATAAATGGGATTACATTAAACTAAAAGGTTTTTGCACAGTAAAGGAAACAATCAATGGAGAAAATATTTGCAAAGAGAGAAAACATTTGTAAATCTGACAAGGAGTTAGTATCCAAAAATACATAAGGAACTCAAATAACTCAACTGCAAAAAAACAAATAACCTGATTTAAAAATGGGCAAAGGAGCTGAATTGACATTTCTCAAAAGAAGACAGACAAATGACCAGTAAGTGTATTAAAAAGTACTCAACTATGCTAATGATCAGGGAAATGCAAATTATACCGCAATGAAATATCACCTCACACCTGTTAGGATGGCTACTGGAAAAAAGGTGAAAGTGTTGGTGATGATGTCAGGAAAAGGAAACTATTACACATTGTTAGTGGGAATGTACATTGGTACAGCTATTATGGAAAACAGTATGGAGTTTCCTCCAAAAACTAAAAATAGAACCACCATTTAATCCAACAATCCTACTACTAGGTATACATCTAAATAAAATGAAATTGGTGTGTTGAAGAGATATCTGCTCTCCATTATTCATCGCAGCATTATTTATAATTGCCAAGATATGGACTTAACCTAAGTGTTCATCAATAGATGAATGGATAAAGAAAATGTGGTATATATGAAATACCAGTCAGCCTTAAACAAGAAGGAAACCCTGTCTTTGCACAACATGGATGAAAATGCAGGATAGTATGTTAAGTGAAATAAGCCAGGTACAGAAAGACAAATATTACATAATCTCACTTACATGTAGAGGATAAAAATGTCAGACACATAGAAACCGAGAGTAGAATGGTACTTACCAGGGGCTGGGAAGTTGTTGAACAAAGGCTACAAAATTTTAGCTGGACAGGAGGAATGAGTTCAAAAGATCTATTCTACAACATGGTGACTTTAGTTAAAAATAATCTATTGTATTTTTAAAAACCACTAAGAAGGTAGATTTTATATATTCTCCCCACGAAAAAGTAATAAGTATGGGAGGTAATGTATATGTTAATTAGCTCAAATTAGTCATTACATAATGCGTACATATTTCAATACATCATATTGTATACAATAAATGTATACATAATTTTTGTTAGTCAATTGAAAATAAATTATTTAAAAATTAAGAAAATAGACATGAGCATCTTATGGGCAAAATACATTGAATTGCTCACTTTATGGCGTTTCAGATTTCCATGATAAATTCATTCTTCTCTTTGAATATGGAATGTAGATTCATTTTTATGTTTTATAGATCTACAACCTACTGTCTGAAACTCTTGAGGAGTGATATGTTTGGCATTCTGAATTGGGGGATTTGGATGTGTAATACTGGGCACAGGGCTCATATTGTGTAATGTCCCAGCAACATCGGGGGCAGCCCCTAGTAATTAAAGGGAGGAATATTTCTACAGAGAAATAGCTGACTAGTCGAACTACAAGTAGCCTCTTATCAGTTCAGGTCAGATTTTAATGAAGTGATGTTTTGTCTCACAATGGATTGTGAAAAAAGTCTCAGTTTTCAGATGTTCAGATTTTAGTACTATAGATAAGAGATTGTGGACCGGCAGTTGTAAAGTTCAAAGTAAACATCGACATTCTCCTACAAACTAGAGTGAGGGGAACTCAGTAAAAACCACAAATAATCAGATTTAGCTTTGAAAATCCTTTAGGATGCTCTCATAATGCCTGCAATGTTAGACTAGCTCAGCGTTTAGTCAGCTGAACTTGAGAAGAAGAAATTGGTTCAGATTTAGTGGATATGCTGAATGAAAGTGTACATCTTTGAATATTAGAATCACTCTAGCTACTTGCAATGCATTGCAATGATCTATTTACAAGACACACAAAGACTAAGAGAACAGCAGAGCCAGGTCTTTCACCACATGCCCATTCTAGTAGAATATACTCTTTAATGGTTGGCAGAATTACCATCTTATTTTTAAAGAACTGTGTATGTTCATGTGTGATGTGTGTATGTCTGTCTGTGTGTGTAAGGAAATGAATGTAGTTGAAAATATGCTAAATGTCCTTTTGTTTTGGCATCACTGTCAGCATTTATGTTTATTAGTTGTTTGCTTATTTTGAATAGACCACTCTTGGTACATTATAAATTAAATTTAAGCCTATTTTGTTTACCATTGAATCCCCAGAACCAAATATCATACCAGCTTTCAATAAATATCTGTATATCAGGAGGCAGTAGTGCATAATGTTTAAGAACATGAACTCTGTAGTCTGGCAGCCTAGATTTGAATCCTGCCTTGGCCACTACTAGCTTAGACCATGGGAAAAGTCTCTGCTCTCTAGTGTCCTCACCTGAAAAATAGGGATAATGATACTTACACCAATCTAGATGGACTAATTTATACTATAATAACAAACCCCAAAATCCCAGTGGCCTGAACCAACAAAAGTTCTTGTTTGTTTGTTTTTCTTGTTGCATTACATGTTCATGATAGGTTAGCTAGGATTCTATCCTACATCATCAGTGTCCTTACTCCAGGACCCAAACTGCCTAAGCCAGCACTACTTGGCACAATGCCAGTTTCCCTAACAGAACAAAAGGAACATTCTTCAGGGTCCAATATAGGTAAATTAAATTCTTGGCCTAGAAATCACACAAGTCATTTCTGCTTACACATTGGGTAGAAACAGCCAGTAGGGTCCAGGGAATACAATCCTGACACGCACCCAGGAAGTAGAGTTACAGAAAGATACTACCCTCATAGGGTTGTCATGACAAGTAAAGGACTCATGTTTATAAAGCACCTGGAAAAGGACCTGGCACCATGCCAAATGCTATATAGGTATTTGCTGCTGATGTTATAATTATTAATAAATTGAATAAATACATATTTTGGAGAAATACCTAATGTAGATGACGGGTTGATGGGTGTAGCAAACCACCATGGCATGTGTATACCTATGTAACAAAACCTGCACGTTCTGCACATGTATCCCATAACTTAAAGTATAATAATAAAAAAAAGTCACCTTTCAGGTTTCTTCTTATTCAATTGAATTTGGCTAAACATTTCAGTCATTGCTTCACTGTTCCCCTTTAGCAAGCAGTGCATTCCAATGTCCTACCCAGCAGACCCTTATGTGTCTTTAGCATAGACACAGGGCAGCTCAAAGGACAACCTTCCTAGCCTCACCTTCCTCAAGATGACTTCTGCAGCCCAGCTGGATCCCGAAAGATGAACCCAGGGGAGTGCTCTGAAGAGAAATGTACCCTAGTAATTTTCAGGTGTTGGACACTGTGAAGATCACAGTTTTAAATGTGTTTCATACAAAAATATTTATACTTCAAGCTGTAGCACGCACACAGCAATCTGCATTTATTGGTTTCAGATGCCAATTTCCTCCAGCTCCGGTTCTCCTTTGTGTTATATAAACAAATCTCAACCATCTGGACCACAACAAGCCTCACTGAAGTATGTGCTCACTCATTGCAAAAGCATGAAATCAAAATACAATCTCACGGAATTCTGCCTAACTGAAAATTGGAATGAACATTACGGACAACACAAAGCTGTTTTTTAACATGTGCTTTAGGTGTCAGAACTTAGAATGTAAATAGGACAGCAGAAATGAGCATATCAGAATATTTATCATTTTGCACAGAACAAAGTGATACAGAAATAAACAGATCCAGATCACATCCTGTGCTGTTACCTATATTATGAGAAGTTCAATTCATAAATTTCCTCAAAAATGAAAAGGTATCTCAGACATGTAGGAAAATAGAGAAGAGAATGCTGCAAGACTCATTTGTGATAGAAAGCAAAAGGTTTAATTCCTACCCAACTATGGAAGTTAAATGTATACTTTATAATAATTGCAAGACAAAGGCTAAACTTAAATGCATCAATATCAAGACACAATGATTTCAGAAGCAGGCTGTGCCAAAAAAGAAAAGACTCTGCCAAAACAAATTACATATGAAACCACCGACCCTCGTAAACCTTGGAAATGAAGGCTAAGCATCATTTCTGATGTCTCCACCCCCTGCTATAATTCCAGGCTGCTGAATACATCTTCCCAAAGCCAAATATAAAAACAATTACCATGGCCAGCCTTGCCCATAGGCCAATACAAGGAGTGCTGGAAATGCTTTTTGCTTCTTTTCCCCCTGCCTAAAAATATCTCCCCACCAACTTATCACAGTGCCTAAAATGTCCACCCTTTGTGGAAAATACCCATCATCAGACTTCATGGCTCAGATTCACGAAACCTAAACCTTGTGGAAAGAATATTCTGACAGAATGGAGTATGATACTTAATGTCTTAAAATAAGTGATTTTATCATAATAGTTTTTTAAAAAGGAGGTTAAATGAAAGAAATATGAATTTCTGGGTCTGGAAGAGAAATATGCAGTGAAAATGAGATGCCACAAGACTCCCCACTTTTTTTTCTGGAGTCCCAGCAATCATGCCTCCTGGCTATTGTCAACTTATCTGGTATCTGATTATCTTGTTTTGTCACCTTAAACTATATAGATATAATTAAGTCAAAATTAAATCCATGTCAGATTATTTGGTATCCTAAAGACTGTCCACAAAAGGAAGAGTAAAAAAAGAAAAAAAAATCTTGCTGAGGTAGGACACTTTCTGATTTAATAAACTGAATTACATAGACTTCAGCCAATTATAAAATTCACCTCCATGGCTGTAAAATGGTGATCTAAATCATTTGAAACTGAGTGCAATTAACTATATTCTTGTTTATTTTGCCTCAATATTTTATCAAGGTCATCCTAAAACCAAATACTATTTCCCAAACTGCTATGCACAAACTTCGTATACACATTAGATGAGAATATCTTGTAATCCTTTATTCAATCACAAATCAGAATATCAAAATAGATGTGTACAGACTCCCATGAACTCCCCCCTCCAGCCCCTGTCCTTCTATGTCCTCAGTTCTAATTCAGTTAATCAGCCATTCTTGAGCAGCACTGCTAAATGAGATTAGCACCTTCCTAGGCCTCATTGTTTCAGTCTACTGGGAAGTATTTAATCAGGAAAGAATGAAAACCCTCATTAAATCTCTAAGGAAAATCCTTCTAATTGTGATATTTAGAGAAATGGATGATATGATGAGAATACATAGACTGTTGCTTTATAGTTTATGGCAGGTATATTTCAGAGGAAACTACTTGCCCTGAGAAAATTATCATTTGTGATAATCTGGTTATAATCCAAGAACAAAATTCTCAGTTTCTTCCAAAGAAGAAATTGGCATGTGCCACTTTCTTACTTTAAATAGTCTGATGATCATAGCACTGGAGGTTCTAATTATATATAATTCCTTGTATTTCAAGCTATTTTCAGCCCATAATTTCAACAGTTCAACTCCACACTGATATCATTATAAAAATATCTTTAAATGGCTTAAAATAATTCCTAATCCTCTGGGATGGTTTTGTCTGTGGCTATCAGGATTGTCTACAAAATCAATCATATCCGTAAATCAGACTTCCAGTAATTATGCCAGACACAGACTTCAGCAATGGGCAGAAAGAGCTAAAGTCTGTGAAACAGCAACCATAAAGCCTACTCTTATACCTCACACAGAGTCATATACTTTAGTTTAGAAAAAAAAAAGCCTCAGCCGGGCGCAGTGGCTCACACCTGTAATCCCAACACTTTGGGAGGCCGAGGCAGGCAGATTACGAGGTCAGGAGATCGAGACCATCCTGGCTAACACAGTGAAACCCCATCTCTACTAAAAATACAAAAAATTAGCTGGGCGTGGTGATGGGCGCCTGTAGTCCCAGCTACTCAGGAGGCTGAAGCAGGAGAATGGCGTGAACCCAAGGAGGTGGAGCTGGCAGTGAGCCGAGATTGCACCACTGCACTCCAGCCTGGGCAACAGAGCGAGATTCCGTTAAAAAAAAAAAAAGAAAGAAAGAAAGAAAGAAAAAGAAAAAGAAAAAAAAAAGGCCCTTTATCCAAAAAATTTTGTCCATGTTTCAGTAGTATAATAGTGGCTTTTACAACTAAGAATCTACATCTACAAGGGAAGGTTTAATCCATTTAGATACCCCATTCAAAGGTCAGAGAAATCTGAAATAAACTTTGGAAAGGTCTCCAAATGGAATATTTACTGTGATTGCCAAAAACATTTACACTAAGTTAAGTCTGTTTCTTAAAATGGGAAGCTGGAAAATGTTAATACATAGACAACCTCATTCCCCTATCATTTCAAATTGAGGAGTTGCTGCTTCATTCAAATTCTTACAACACACACATGGCAATACCACCATGGTATCAATGAGCAAAGAAGGACTCAGATGCCAACCAACTTACCTTCTCTAATATCTACTGTGAGACTTGGCTCACAGTTTAAGAAGGCTTTTTTAGAACATTCGTCAAGCTGCGGGAAGGCTGGAGGTAAAATGGAGTTTGTATTGTTTTGAGAAAGGCAAATTATATTTATGGCAGAATAGAGGAAAAGGAAACTTTTAGGAGTTTAAGACATCTGCTTCCTAGCCTAAGGGGCATTTCCTACAATCCATATTAACACCATTTGTTTTGCTAGATAGACCTGTGAGTCACAGAGGACTCAATTTGATTCAACATATTCTCATCTACAACCCTGTCAGATGTATCTCTAAAGTTAGTTGATAATAGAATGGGATTTTCTTATCCTGGTACACATGCCAAAAATAGAGCCAACTAAACATTTCCAAAAACTTCAAAACACCAACCACAAATGAACAACAGGATTACTTGGAGATAATGCCATATCTCCCCATGTTTTAGGAACAGAAAAAGGCAGCTTACCTTGCTCTCTTCTCCTTCAAACACTGACTGGTGAACATTGCACGCAAACAACGAGTTGGGGAGGTCATTGAAGTCAGTGATTGCTTGAAAGGCTTCTTCTGCAAAACAACGAGTGACAGCCCAGTCCCTGTCTATGCAGCACAGTAAGAAAAGTCCTCCATCTTCAGGGACGTGTCCCTGCTGCCCTGGGCTCCTCATTCCGATGAAGTATGATTCTCCCCTCATTCCTGGGGATACAAAGATGAGCATGTGTTACTGCAGAACAAATTCCTTAAAACTCAGTTTTCGGGTCACAGTTTTGTATTGTCAGGGGCAGAACAGTGGAGTACGATTAGGAGCAGAGGCAGGGGATATTGGAAGGGAGAAGATCTGCAAGTTCACATGGTTCCCTTGATCCCTGAACCAGAATTTCCCATACAGCTCTGCTCTGGGGCAAGAACCGAGTCAGTACTATGGTTTTTTAAAACAAACAGACAAACAAATAGGTATAGGAAATGGAGATCACCACCACTACTACCAATGTCTATCGTGTATTGAGTTCCAGGCACTATTCTAAATGATTTATATAAATTTAGAACATCAATTACATACATTAACTACCTTATTTAATCTCCACAATAGTCTATAAGGTTGGTACCAATATTTTCCCCAATTTACAGATGGGAAAACAGGAAGAAAGCAATTAAGTAACTTTTACAAGACCACTGACAAAATGGCAGGGCTAGGATTCAAACTCAGGGAAACTGGCACCAGAGCTCACTCTCCTATGCCACAGGAATGAAGCAGATCAAAATAAGTAGAAGCCTATATTTAAGAAAGTATGATCTACTTCATCAGCACCTGAATCCTGATCATGATAACTCTAACAGGTAATAGTTCATCCTGTGAGAGTACAGTGAGAGTAAACACACCACACACACACACCTCCCAGATATTTCCTCTTCTGACTGAGATAATTACTTCAAGTCATTTGTGAACCAGGTCCAGATCCTAAAAAAATCAGTGCTATCTTGATCAATCCATGGTGCACAGGTCCCCGTCCCTCCTTGCCTTGTAAGGCTTTCCAGTATTGATTTCACCTAGCTGTGTTCAACCCTTCTATTATTTTTTCACCCCTTATATTTGCAGTTTGCCTAACTGCAGAGTTTTTCCATTTTTTTGATACTGGTACATAATTTAGTGGATTAGGTCAGTATCCCCATATAGTCCAAGGCTGGTATCTACTTTCTTCTTTTGTACCGATTTTCATGACTGTGATACTATTCTGCTCAAAGCTCAATAGTTAAGAGGCTCGGAAAGTGAAATAACTTGCTCATGGTTACGCAAGTAAGACTGACTGAAAATTATGACATGGCTACTGAATCATCTTCAGGAAGCTCCATGTTCTTCAGTCCCATCATCACAGATGCTCAGAGCAAAGGACAGAAAGGTGGGTACCACTAAACATCAATCTGCTCTCATGAAGTTTAGCTAGATACAAATTCCAGATCCCCAGACAAAATATCAGTTTCTGCTTATCTCTCTCTTGAACTGTGAAATAAACCCTTGAACCTCATAGTGATGAGGTTATGTTTTTTATTTTCATTTTTCCTAGAAAAGCCCCAATGAGAGTTGGTAAGCAGCATTTTCTGGCAATAATGCATTACATATAAAATCTTAAGCCCGGTTGAGGTAGGAGCCAAAAATTAAATAGTTTGAGGTGATATCTCTAAAATCAAATCATCAAAATTGTGGTAAGTAAAAATTTCTATATAAAATATAATAAAACAATTCTTGCACTCCAAAGTTCTTCAAACTCCAATTAGCGCATTTCCATATTTAAATCAACAAAATACTTATTTTAAATAAAAATATGGTACATGTTTTATTAAATAATCTAAAATATATGAATATTTTTAACTAGAAGGAAAAACATGTAATAGCATTAATATAAAGGGAATTGAACTGCTAGACAACTTCAATGAAACATGTGCATGTATTTTCTTTCATATTTATTTATACTGTTGCTTGAATATTTTAGCATAAAACACCTAATTACCGTCATTTATTAGAGTATCAATTGTTTTAATAGTAAAAATATTTAGTAAAAGCATCATCAAAACACTAGCATTTTCATTAATAGTTTACAGGAAAACGCGCGCGCACGTGTGTGTGTGTGTGATGGAGTTTTGCTCTTGTCGCCCAGGCTGGAGCGCAATGGCGCAATCTTGGCTCACTGCAACCTCCACCTCCCGGGTTCAAGTGATTCTCCTGCCTCAGCCTGGGCCTTCCAAGTAGCTGAGATTACAGGCACGTGCTACCACGCCCGGTTAGTTTTTGTATTTTTAGTAGACACAGGGTTTCACCACGTTGGCCAGGCTGGTCTCGAACTCCTGACCTCAGGTGATCCACCCACCTGGGCCTCCCAAAGCGTTGGGATTTCAGGCATGAGCCACTGCACACAGCCAGGAAACTCTTTTGATAATGAAGTCATAATCATTCAGCAGCATACAAATAGATGCTGTGTCAATTTGAATTTTATTTTTAATCTCATCCCTCTTATTTAAAATATTTTAAGTGAATCAAAACATTATAAAACACTCTTAGATGTGTTGTAAGAATGTTTCAATTATTATTTTTCCAAAAAAAATCTAAAATCCATTGCCGAACAAATTAATTAAATAGATCAAATTTTAAGCTTAACTCAGGACTCATTTTAATCTACTCAAATAGCCTTAATTTCTATCCTAAGCTGTAACAATATTATCTTCATGAGATTTTATTTTAAGCTCATTACTTTCAGTAAAGATTTAAGGGTGAATGCATTTTTGGCAAACAACCTACTTTACTTACATGGAGAAATACTTTAGAAGTCAGAGCTTTGAACAAAGAAATTCTAATTTCTCTTTCTAGTTTCATTACTAACTCACCCCATAATTTGGAGAAGCCAAGTGATCATTCTGGAACTCAGTTTATCCTTGTAAAACAACAACAAAACAACATTGAACTGCCTCCTTCTGCAGAGTAAGGGGAGGCAGGGGAATGAAACAGGAGCGGAAGACGTGATCAAAATCAGTATTAACCACTACATAAAAGAATATGTAATATGCAGTTTTGCAATACTGTAATATACAGTATTGCAATTTTTACTGCATGAACTATGCAGTAAAAACACATCGTGATAATTTCAGAGCAAGGCAATTATGCTTCAGTATTGCCCAAATAAACAGAAGGAAATTCTGAAGATTAAGAGAACTTCCCAATAAAGAAGTATAAAGGTCCCACAGCTCAAGTTAACTGGTTTGTCTTTGTTTCCTCTGTTGTTGTTTTTTTTTTCCACTTTTTCAGAGAGGGTCTTGCTCTGTTGCCCAAGCTGGAGTGCAGTAGCACAATCATAACTCACTGCAACCTCCAACTCCTGGGTTCAAAGTGATCCTTCCACCTCAGCCTCGTGAGTGGCTGGGACTACAGGCATGCACCACCATATCTGGCTAATTTCTTTTTTATTTTTTGTAGAGATGAGATCTTGCTATGTTGCCCAAACTGGTCTCCAACTCCTAGCCTCAAATAGTCCTCCCATTTTGGTTTCACAAAGTGCTGGGATTACAGATGTCAGACACTGTGCCCAGCCTGGTTTGTCTTTTTTAATTAATATCAAACTGTTAGTCATTGTAAGAAACCTTTGAGGCAACCATTGTCTACCAAGATTGACATGTGTTGTCCTTATTTCTAAATCTGAGGTTGGCCATCCAAAGGAGAAGAGCTTCCTTCAGCTAGGAGGCCATTTTCCGGGAGGGCTTCCCAACCTCACCCAGGCTGGGATGAATGTGGTGTTCTTTCTCAGAGCTCCCTGAGCACCTGCACAGCCTTTTCTCATAAAATTGTCCTCCAATGCAGCTACTATTGTGATTACTACTTTACTAGTCTGTATCTCAATCCAGATTGGTATTTCTTGAAAGCAGAGGCTGGGTTGTCTTCATCCATGTATCTACAGGAAAATATAGAAAGCCCTCAAAATAATGTTTGGCTGAATTAATGAATTATATAAAAAAGAGTCACTTTTTGGAAATAACAGACCAGCAAGTGGGTTATAATGTCCAACTTAAAATGTATACACTAATGATATACTATTTCAAATGTCTACACTAATAATGAAAACAATCCTCTCATTTAAATGTAAAGGTTTGATTTCTAAAATGTAATTTTACAAATGAAAGATAGCAAGAATCACTCAAAGATAGCAAGACTCACAGGATTCCTCTAGCTAAAATTTAATAATCTGTGGAAAATAGCAAAAATAACATTAATGTTTTTTAATGAGTTAACTGAAGAAAAACTGGAAAATTCAAAAAGCTATAAAGAAGAAAATAAAAGTAAACCATAATCCTACTATCCAGAGAAAACTCCTGCTAACATTTTGGTATATTTCATTGCAGTGTTTTTTTTACATGTAAAATTTTTAAACAAAATGGGGGTCCTGCTGTTTAGTATACCGCTCCTGTCCTGCAACACTGATATAATCAAGAGCAGTTCCCTGTGTGATTATATATTCTTCAAAACATTAATTTTAATAGCCACATTGTATCCCAGTGTATGAATCTGTCATAATTTAATCACTCTTCTGTTGTTTGACATTTGGAAAGCATAAGTTTCCATCACCTTATGCATGTGGAAAAGAAAAACCACTATCCACTATTAAAATATAAATCTTCCCATGGGAGAATTTCAAAACTTCTTTAGATAAAGAAAAGAGACATCTTCATGAAATACTGGAAAGAGCCCTAAGGGAATACCTTCATGCCAGTCTCAAGCTGTAAATAGGGGGCCTTCTGGGCTGTGGCTTTCTTTTTTTTCTTTTTTTTTTTTTCTTTTGAGAGAGAGTTTCGCTCTTATTGCCCAGGTCAGAGTACAATGGCACGATCTTGACTCATCGCAACTTCCGCCTCCCGGGTTCAAGAGATTCTCCAGCCTCAGCTTCCCGAGTAGCTGGGATTACAGGCATGTGCCACTACGCCCAGCTAATTTTGTATTTTTTAGTAGAGACGGAGTTTTTCCATGTTGGTCAGCCTGATCTCGAACTCCCGACCTCAGGTGATCCGCCTGCCTCAGCCTCCCAAATTGTTGAGATTACAGGCGTGAGCCACCATGCCCAGCCAGCTGTGGCTTTCTTGACTGCAGAATGGAGAAGGAACATGGCCTTGCCTACCTTACAGATCTACATGAAAGTCTTTTGAAGGCCCCCCTCTGCCAATAACATGTGAATGAAAGCTATTTATTACTATTGTTAGGCTTATCAAGAGCAAGCCAATGGCAGAGGAAGTTGGCACTGCAGAGGTGGCCATCATCTTCTACTGTTAAGTGTGTAAATGAGTTTCAAACCTCCAGTGTATGAAACCTCCAGCTTCAAACCTCCAGCTCATATCATTACAATGAGAAACAAGCAGCAGTGCAGCTTGAATATTTGGTATGAGTTTGGGTGAAGACCCTATTAGGAGGAAAAGATATTTGTAAGGCAAAAGAAATTAATTAAAACAAAAAACAAACAACCTTTTCCCCCCAGAAAACATCACCAACAACAAGATGACAGTTTATTTAAATGTTAGAACGTTAATGGCAATGAAGACATAGACAATTGCATTTGACTCATTTTAATGAAGAAGGAAGCCTGGAGAAGGGAGGGTTTGCGACCATTTCATTTTTTCGCAAACATGTGAAGATAATTTTCATCCAAGATTTTCAAATAACATGATAGCACTTTTTAAACATTAAAAGACCTAAAGTAAAGACAATATGTTTCCTACCTTAAAGACTAGCCACCTGAAACATAAAGATATCTGTTCAACATCTGTTACACAGAAGTAGCCATTTAATAAATGTTGTATGAATAAGTGAAAAAATTTCTTTTCCCCCAATAAATCTGGATGTTAGAGACATTACTGGCTTTCTACACAAGGAATTAATCTTTCCAAAACTCTCTAATTTCTTTCCTGACAAATGTTTATACATATGATTAAACCCGGAGGAAGAGACCTTTAGAAGACATCTGATTCTGCTGGATATCATTATTGTCACAGAGTTATCAATGTGCATGAGATTCACATTTCTGAATTGCAGAATTCTAAAAAAATTCACTTTTCTAGGAATTGGGTATAACTCATGAGAGCAGGGAGCCATGCATTTGCCCATAGGAATTCTGGTCTAGAAAGCCTTTAAATATAAAAGGAGAGGAAGTTAACCACAAATAAGTCCATGAGAACAACCTGGGAGCCACAGAAAGATGGTAAACATTCATGGAGATGCTTATAATAGTTTTACCATCAAGTAAAATCAGTCAGTAGCGTGATGTGTGACCAGAAAGGGTTGGGTGGTGATAATCGCATCTAGAGTCTTGGCAACCTGGAGAGATCATGGCCAATTCTGGGTACTGTCCACTACAGAAACACTGAGTCTTTCAAAGGAAAGTATTCAGTCAAGTTACGTTATCTAAGAGACAGATGCATGATAAGAAAAAGCATACGAAGCATAGAAAATAAGTTTTGAGTTAAAGCTTGGTTGCCTTCAAATTCTGAAAGAGCAAATACAATTTTTGTATACAAAAACAGAAGTCAAACCAGAGAGAAAGAGTTTAATTTCATATAAGGAGCCACGGATCTTTTAACAATTTGGGTTAGAATAGCATGTCCTGCCTTATGTGTTAGTGAACTCCTTGTAGTGGTGATATCCAATAAGAAAGTTTCATTGAGCAGGTGCCATTCATTTAGCAGGATGTCAAACAGGGAATCCAAGGAACAGGGTGATGATTGCCTGACATTTCCTTTAAGGATTCTCCTCAATTTGAGATTTTTATCTTACCATGATTGGAAAAAAATACATAAGAAAAGA
Organism: Homo sapiens; assembly: GCF_000001405.40. Classification (NCBI taxonomy): domain Eukaryota; kingdom Metazoa; phylum Chordata; class Mammalia; order Primates; family Hominidae; genus Homo; species Homo sapiens. Next base: position 46,463,613 of record NC_000006.12, read on the forward strand.
GACATCTGTTTATCTCTGGGATTAAACATACTCAAGAAAGGGGAACATATAACTTTTAACAAAAGCTTTCTCCAGAGTTTAAATCTTAAATTTGGATGCTCATAAATAACCTGTCTCTATTTTTTCTCTTCCAGGTGACTCAAACTAAAAAGCAAGAATTTTTCAATAGAAAGTAATGATCCATAAAAAGATAAAAATAAGCAAGACATACAAAAAGCAACTTAAGTTTAAATTTGTTTTTTCTTAGACAAAAAGAATGTTAAAGATTCACCTCATTTGCTTCTAAAATTAAGAACAGAAATATAAAACTTTTGCAATAAGGGCAACAAATAAAAAAATATGCCTTGATTCCATGTTATGGCCAGCTAAGGAGGATAAATAAGGAAATAGAATAAATGGAAATGATTAATGAATAATTCATCCTGACTTCAAGTTCAGTTTTGATTGAAAAACAAGTAAATGAATTATGGGAGATTTGTTAGTTTACAAGAACTTAAATATAACAATGTCAGCTTAAATATTAATGACAAAAACTGGGAATACAATGCAGCATTAATAAGTAATAGAAAAGAAATGCCTATATTTTTCAATTGAATATAAGGTTAAATGAGCCAAGTTCAGAATTTTAAAGAATATGAACCTAAAGTTTTGCAGTGTTTAAAATCCCTTCAGCTCTAAAACCAAATGATTATTTGATAATATCTGGGACAAAATGAGCTCATTAGAAGAAAATATTTAGATGAATAATAAGAATAATAAATTTACAATTAAATTTTATTATCAGCATTCATTTTTGGTCTGGCTTTAGAAGTGGGATCTTTTTGATTTGCCCTTTGGGTGTTTTAATATCTAGATCCTCCTAGGGATAAGACAAGCCTTTTGCTCATTTTTGTCCATCTTACAGGGAGATTGAAGTATAATATTAGTAACAACAAACCAAGCCAGCCATCCTGAGATACAAAGGAGAGACATGATATTCTTAGGCTATGCTCCATAGAAACCCATTAGAGCTCTTTCTGAAATATAATGGAACCTATTTAATTCAGCTGCAGAATTTCACACCTGCTGAGCTATGTGAACCTCATGCTATTCTTGATATCATTTGGGATCAGTCTTGAAAGTATCAGGAACATGCAGTTTCCAACTCATAGTTTTCAAAGGAAATCATCCACATTCCTCATTTATGGCTCTCTTCAGGACACCTTCTGGAGCCACTGTTCCACCTTAAGCTCCCAATGGGCAATAATTCAATTAATTCAATTCCCTGTGGAAGCAGCAGCTTATGAATTTTTATGAAGTGCAAAAAAAAAAAAAAGCAAGTTGTTTCCATCATGTCCTTTTGCACTGGATGTGTACACCTGCAGGATTTTAATGCCCATGATCTCACAAGATTTGCAGATCCTATATATTCTTTCAATAAACATAATAAAAAGGGGAGGAAGACCCTCAAATTTACCAAAGGTCAGATGGGACAAGCAAATAGGGCATTTGTATTCCATTCCCACAAACCTAATATCATCATCAAGAAAATGCATTTCAAACAGGTTTGCTGCAAAAGAACAGAGTCAGAGGAAACACCATCTTTTATGAGGGGTGTGAGGGTGACAAAGTTGTTCTTAAAGACAGAAAAACCTGTGTCTACAAAGAATGAGCTACAGTGAATTATAGATTTGTTAAACAAAACAAGCAATATTGGAGCACTCACACAAAGCAAAAGAGTTTTGGACATTGTATTAGTCAAGGTCTCACAGGAAACAGACAGCATGTTCAAATTGGATAATTTGAAAAGAGTATAACAAAGGGACTATTTACAGCATGGGCAGGGTACAGGAAAACCACAACAGATAGTACAAAACCCTGGTCTAGCACTCTCCCTAGATTTGAAGAGTTGAGAGGAGGGGAGGGGTTTCCAGAACCTGGGGATATTCTGGAGAGAACAGACGGCTGTGTGGAGATGGCCCCCTGACACATCTTTCACTGCAGGATGTAGTCAATCTACAGTAGTGCTACAAAGAGAGTGCCAGAGAAATAAATATCCCCAACTTGTTATCTTTCTCTGATCTCCTGCTGGTACCTCCCATTGGTCAAACCCAGCTGGAAACCAGAGGGCCAGGGGGCCATGGAGGTGGAACACAGAGGTCAGGCTCTGGGGCACAGGGCGCAGTGCAGAGGGATAAGGGTGGAGAGAGACTCTCTGGGATCAAGTAAAGATAACAAGCACACCCTTCATAAATGGGTAGTAGTCTAGAAATTTTATAGGTTAATTTCAATAGCACTTTAAATTTTGAAAACGTACAGCTGAGTCATTTGTAAATAGATGGCTCAAACCAGGGCTTATGTAATACAATTGAAGATTCATCACCTCTGACTGCATTTTTCTTAGAAACAAAAAAGTGAACAGGGAATGAGTGGCTCTGTATATAGTAGAGAATGCCTGCACCACTGGGGGAGATGTGTTCAGACGCCCCACCTGGAGACAGAAGACCATCCTCTCATGATTGCTTAGAAGAAGCTTAAAGAAGGCCCAAAGCCTCTGGAAGAGTGGAGCAATGTTATGCAAAATAACTTTTCACAGGAGGGCAACACTTCAAAAGTGGGCAGCAAAGCACAAGAACGTTGCTATGGTAGCCAAAGTAAGATTTATCCTGTCATCTTTCACCTTTGGTTTTCAGATGGGGCATGGAGTGCTGGAGAGAAACAGAGTGAAAAGGAAAGAAAGCAGGGAGTGAGAGATACTGCAGCTTTGAGAAAAATACAGCTAAGAAGGGTCTGACTTATTTAGAAAAGAAAAGATGGACTAGAAGGCTGCCTAGGGAGTGGAGAGCTGGACAGGACTCACTAGAAGTCCAAGGAGGCAGGTCACACTCCCTTCCACAACATTAGCAGGTAATGAAGAGCTTGGAATTCCTTTCAACTCAAGGAGGAAAGGCAGGGGGAAGAAAAATCCCCATCTCAGTACCTAGCAGACAGTATGCTATTTTTTCCCACAATACAGCTAAATATTCACGTTATTTCCACATTAAAAATCTTCCATAACTCCACAGGACCTGTCAAATTAAATAAAAAACTCTTCAGCCCAGCAAACCAGGACAGCCACAAGATGACAGACTTCCTATCTAGACTTATCAACTGCCTCATCAACGCTGAAAAAAATCACAAGTCTCAGTATCAAGTTCCAGCTCAGTCCATAACAATAGCGGCAGGAGCAGCGACAATCATTGAGTGCTTACTTTGTTCTAAGGGCTTTATCTGTAACAAACTTATAAATATTAAATAGCTGTGTAGCTTTGGCCAATTTCCTCAAGCTTTCCTTAAGGTTTTCTTCTGCTGTGCCCCATTCCCACCTATCAACATTCCACTCATCTTCAAAGTCACATCTGGGGTCACTGCCTTCATACCCCGCTCTCAGCCCAGCCTGCACTAGATGAGATTCCCCAGTTACTGATTGCTATTGTCTTGCGCTTGCACCTCTTGGGACACTTACTTTGTTTTGCCTCTCTTTGCACTAACTTATTTCTTATCTTCCACCCAATGTTGAGCGCAGGAGCTGTGTCTTACCTGCCTGCATAACTCTTGTAGCTACTAAACAGGACCTTGCACTTGGAAGGTAACTTCTGACATTTCTTGAATTGAATGGAATTCAAAGAGCTCTGAATTTGACTTTCAGCTGTCCAGCTTACTGGCTGTGTGACCTTGGACAAATCACTTAATCTCTGTGTTGTTTCCTCAACTGTAAAGATGACAGGAGTATATGCCTTTTATAGTGCTGTTTTGAAGATTTGATAGCTAATGCACATAAGGCACTTAGAACAATGACTCGGACACACCATGAGTGTTCAGTAAGTGTTAACTATTATAAGTGTTAACCATCTTAAGTTCTCAACAGAGCAACCTTCTGTCTCATATGACACAGGAGCTCCTCCTCTCTTTCCTAGAGTCATGGGTCTTTTTGCATGTACAGAAGGAGTACAGTGGTTAAGTGTGAACTTTGAAGTTGGTCTTGAATTTTGGCACTGCCACTTTCTAGCTGTGTGACCTTGGACATGTTACTGAACATCTCTGGGCACCATATGCAATGTGGGAACCACAGTAGTACCTACTTCACTGGGCTGTTCCTTGGATTAAATGTTACACATCTTACCATTCTTCTCCCTCTCACCTACTCCAAAATCCCAAAATTTCTGGTGGGTACTATGTTTTTCGGCTCTTCGGAAGAGACTGTACCTCCACAGTGAAAAAATGCAAGAACACTGAAGTCAGACAGACTCAGACTGAAATCCCAGCTCCTCAGCATTTGTGATTATCAATTAGGAGAAGATGGACTGACAGTAGTGGCTGGCCCTGGAGTCTGAATCCTCTTTCTACAACAATTTTACTTTGTGATTTTCTGCAAGTTAGCTCTGCTTACTAGGCCTCAGTTTCCACAGCTATAAATTGGGACTACTGAGAGGTCCAAATGAGATAATCCTAGTAAAGAATTTAGCCCAGGGCCCAGCAGCTATAATCACTCATGAAATATTAGCATTTGCTATAATTGCTTAATCTAACTGCCAATTATACCTTTACTTAATCTGTTCTCCCTTAATTGTTTTACTTTCCAAGAAAGTCAACATTGGTGTTAGGCCCAGAGTTTGACTTGAGTTTAGGATAAGAATATGGACCACTGTTCTAAACCTTTTAGTTTTATCAGGTCATCTTCAACCCAAAGGGGACCTGAAGTACTTAGCTTCCTAGTACAAATTCCCTGCTTCAATCTTATAGTCTTACTTACCCTTCTCTTTTCTTTAATCACAATTTTCCAACTTAGATGAAAACCCTGTCAGGGCTTACCAGAGGATCCAGGGTACTTCAGAGTGAGGTCCAACCCCACCACAGCCGCGCCAACGCCAGCAAAGCAGCCCCCATCCTGGGAGGGCTGCCCAGCTTCTCCTTTCTGTCCTCCCGTCTGCACATGTGTTGTTATTTACAACATTTGGCAAAGCAAACCCATTTATTGACGTTTTTACATCTCCTTCCATATGTTGAGCATACTTGCTTCTTCCTATAATGCTGGCTCCCAGCACGGCTCCTGATATGCTGTGCTGACGAGACAAATGGAATGTAATACCCTCAGATTCCCTCTCTCCCCTCTCTTCTCTCTCCCCACTCTTTCTCTCTCTCCGCTAGATGTTCCAGAGCCTTGCTCACCTTTAATCAGCACTTTCTCAACTTGAGTGACTTCCTGAGTCTCACAGATTCTCATTGTCTCCAGCTGTGTTAAATCCGGAAGGCTGAGTGTTTTCATTCTCTCCTCCTTAACTTTACTTGTTAGCACAATTTGCTCTTGATCTGAAAGTAAGTCACTGCCCCCAGCTGCTTCAGGTTACTTTTAAAACCCTTCCCTTCTTTTTATATCCATTTATTGAAGACGGTTTCTATCACACCTCTGTTTCTCTCTCAAATCTACAATTGTAATACCCTCAGGTTCCTACAGAAGCCAGGGCTGATTGTACTTCTGCATTGCCACCTCCCATCTAGATGGAGCTGTCTGCCCTTGGCCTGTTCAACCAAGGGCCACAACTGAGACACTGACACAGGGCTGGGCAGTTGTGGAAATAACTTCCAGTTTCTCTCACTATTGTCAGAGAGTCACAATTCAAGATGATCCGTAATTAATCTCCCACTTCTAGTGCCATGTGTTGTTTACAAGAAAGAGCTGACCCAGATTCTAGCCTAGAAAAAAAACAAACTGAAACCTTTATAAAGTCCTTTCTGGCCTGCTGCAATTGGGACCAGTTCACCACATCCCTCACCCCCTCCAGCAGCTGATCAGTGGCTAGGGCTCGTGGAGGATGGAACCAGTCTTGGTAGCAAAGGGTAGTAAGATTTCTGAGGAAAACCTACAAAGCATTTGGGGGAAGAAATTGAGGCAGTAGAGGAAACAAGTAGGAACAGCTAGGTGATTTAGCTGATAATCCACCTTTTGAGAACTGGTAACTTAACTGTCCTGGCCTCCACACTGCTTTACAACAAAGACCATGCTAGAAACGAAGTGGGAAGAGGATGTATACCATCCTTCTACTTGTCCAAAAGAGCTGGTGGAATGCTTGTGCTATGTTATGAATGTGTCCCCTCCTAAATGTAGGTGTTGAAACTTAATGGCCAATGTGATGGTATTCAGAGGTGGGGCCTTTAAGAAGTAATTAGGTCAAAAGGGCTTCTCCCCTTGTGAATGAGATTAAGGTACTTACAAAAGAGGCTTCATGTAGCATTCAGCTAGCTTGCCCTTTGGCCATGTGAGGACACAGAATTCCTCCCTTGTGGAGGATACAGCAATAAGGCACCATCTTGCAAGCAGAGAACCACCCTCACCAGACGACCGAACCTCGATCTTGGACTTCCTTGATCTTGGACACCTTGATCTTAGACTTCCCAGCCTTCAGAACTGTGAGAAAATTAATTTCTCTTCTTTTTAAATTGCCTCAGATATTTTAAAAATTGTCTCAGATATTTTGTTATAGCAGCACAAAATGAACTAAAACAACTTTAATGAACTGAAACCATCACAATAGACACCATGATAGTCAAGACAATGTTTTTGATAGTGCAGCCGACAGACTCCTGAGAAATACAACTAGAACATTATGAGGGGCCCATCTGGCATTCCAACAAGACCAATGGAAGCTATTTATATTAGAGGAGAGAACTAGGACCCCCTTTACCTTCCTACTTTTCTAACCAATCCTAGCACCATCCCATATATATAAAACTGGATAAACAGCCAACAACATTGAAGTGCCTTATTAAGATGTCAGAGATCAGCGTTCACCACTGGATTTATAAAACCTAGTTCAGTACCAGGAATGGGGTGATATTAAAGATGAGAAACATTATATTAGGCTTGCTTGTCTTTTTGAGGAACTATTGCCATTTGTCTCTTTATATAGTTACTTAATAGCTCTACCTTTCAGATGTCAGTGACACATACAAAAATGTTCACTAAATAAATCAAGCCAGTTTTCTATGTACCCTCTCTCTACCAGTTCACTTACTTTTCTCATTTTTTATATTTCTTAAAACTGGTTTCATTATTTTCCTTCTTCCAAATAGAACTATTGTTTTTTCACTTACAATGTACAATTACTTCAAATAGTAAATATGAAACACTTAAAAATGTAATAAGGGTATGAGTCTTAAAAAGAAAGCAAGTTTAACTGACCACATAAACATGGTTTGCCCATGGCTTAGATGTGGCAAGGATGAAATCTGTCTTCATTGTGCATGGCTCAGTCTTTATTCATTTTTTCTTCTGGTGAATTCACCTCTCCTCATTCACCTCATTCACCACTCCACCAGAAGGCACAGATACCCTTCAGAGTATTTATACCCACCTATCAAAACCTGTGTAGTGTGGCTCTGGTATAGAGCATTTGCTATTTTATACACTTTATGTAGGGGTGGTGAGGAATATGTCTCTGATCAATAAGGAAGAAGGTGAGGCTGGTAAGGAAGAGAGAGTGTACAAGATGGGTTCAGAGGAAAAGCAGATGGCCAGGACATGTGGAGCCTTACAAGCCTTGGAGAGGACTTTTTGATTTTACCCTGAGATGGGAAGCCACTGGAAGAGTCTGAACAGAGGAGTTTCAGGAACTGACTTATGTTTTAAAATAATTTATCTGGCTGTTATCTGGAGAATAGAGCAATGGAACAAGGCCAGAAGTAGGAACCTACTAAGAAACAATTGCAGTAATCTAGGTAACAGATGATGGTGATAGAGACCAAAGAGGTGGCAGTAGAAACAGAATCAGTAGGAACTTGAGTCTGGGTGTTTTTAATGTACACGTGGTATTTGCTGATGGATCGGATATGAGGTAGGAGAAGATTGAAGAGTAATACCAAGATTTTGGCCTGAGGACCTAGAAGCACAAAACTGCCATTTACTAAGGTGGAGTAGGCTGTGGCAGGAGCAAGTTTAGAGGGATGAAATCAGAAGTCTAGTTTAGGACATGCCATAAAGAATGCTATTATTCATCTAAGTAATGAGCAGTTGGTGCCATGAGTTCAGAGTTCAGGGGAGAGGGGAATAAAATAGATGACACTTATAGCCATGGGTCTGAATGAGTGAGTTTAGTGAGAGAAGAGGTCTAAGGCCTGAGCCCTGAAACACACCACAATTTTAGAGGAATAATAATAGTACCATTGCAAGGGGGTGTGTTATAGGGATTCAATTAGATAATACATGTAAAGCACTTAAAATAGTATAGGAACCTTCTTCAACAGTCAACAACCAGGTGCGTGCGCACACACACACACACTCACACAGTCCCCCTTACCTCTTACCACCTGCTAGCCCCTACCTCCCCTAGAGCACCTATCCCAGGACTCGGCGACTTGCACCTGGTGGAATTCTTCCTCGCATTGTTCTGTAAGGAAGTGGGTGGAGAACAGGAAACCTTGTTCTCACTCTAAAGGCTACAAAGGGAAAAATAATCTTGCTTGTATTCCAACCTGGAATTCTGAGTATTTTTCCCACAACAACGTAGCTTTTAAGATCTCTCAAATCAACACTCCTGTACTTTACATCAAGTACATCATGCATATAACAGGCTTTTGGGCCAGCTTGGGGATCTGGTCATAATTCATGATGCTTCCTAGGAAAATATATCCCAAACTCCAAACAATGTAATGGAAACCCATATTCAAAAGGCTACAGATTGTTTCCTGACATAAAAGCACACATATAAATTCTAAAGATGGATGTATTGGGACTTCCTTTTAATAGCAATGGTCTGTAACATATCGCTATATTTAGGTACCCAACTAAGACTAATAAAGTTGAGCAATAGTCCCTTTGTAGTGCCTGTGTTAGTTTAATCTCTGTCAAATCTCTCTGTGACTCTCCGCATCCCATTCCCCTGTGCTCAGCCAGGCAACGGAGAGGACAGTGAAGATGTTTAACTCCAGGATAAATCCCCCATGATGCTGTCTTTCTCCATCATAATGGAGAAAGACACAATTGCTGTACTGTAATTGTGTAGCTGCCTCTCTTTCCAACCTGCAAATGCAGATTGTCTACCTTGTTCACATTGTATCTCTAGAACTCAACATTGTACCAAGTATCTAGTACAGACTAAGTAGAATTTCTTGAATGATTGGGGAATCAAAACTCAATCTTAGTCTTAGATTCTAAGACATATAAGTCTTGAAAGAAGAAGGAACTTGGAGGACATACCAACTGAGTTAAGCCAGTCAGTCTGGGAAAGAGAGTACAGGAACACTGGAACTTTTTCTGAAGTAACAAGATCTAGGGATTTTCACCCAGAGAAGAGCTACTTAGGTTGGCTTCTGGTAGCTCAGAGCGAGAAAAAGTCCCTTCATGGGACTAACTCAGAATACCAAGCTTAAGCCCCAAATCTTGCTTTCCAGATAAATGTAGTTTTTAATTTAAGTGACAATGTGATTTTCCTGGGGTCCACAGCCCTGAACTTTTAGAAGTCATGTTTCAGGACAGTTTGATTAGTTATATGCATGTATGTCTGTCTGTTTCTATAAATCATGTTTAAATGTACATATACACATTTATGTGGTCTCTTATTAATTTGCAAACTCTTAAAGCATACCAATGCTTTTCTCTCCTTTCTTTTGCCACATACAATATCTTACGGTATACTGTTTGATCCTCCATGATAATCAATTATGACTCTACCTTATAGCTTCTTAATATCAAGAATGGCATCACACACATACAGACACATGCACACACAAACACACACCCCTATCTCATACCTAGCATATAATAGGCATTCAGTAAATGTCTAGTGAACTGAATTGTTTAACTGGCTGTCTGTGCTATTTTTTTTTGTTCTCTTTAAACAATAAACTATTACCTATAAATCACCAATAAAATATCAGAATTGTAATAGACTAGAGTCTTTCATTACCATCAGGAACCAAATGTCAATAACAGCACCATATGAAACACATCAATGGCAGTGCTAGTCCAGTATATGCTCAGTGGGTTTATAACCTCAGTAGTATTTTCATAGAGAAAACTATGCATTATCCAAAACTAACTTGGGATTTTTTTAACCTGATAATTATTAGATAAATCAATGACATATTTTGACTGTGGATAAGGGAAAGGCTGCTGATTATCATTCAGGTCTGAATAATATCCATGGATATTAAACCATTTTCCTCTGTCATTTTATTCTTTAGGGGCACTCTTCATATAAACTCTCAGGAAAGGAATGAGGGTACATTTATAAAACAAAGACAGTATTTTAACTTTTAAGTCTTACATATAAACTCACATATTTCTCTTTAAAATAACATATTGAGAAGCTACTATGTGCAAACTATCCTGATTCCTCTTAGATGATTCAGAGTTGGACAGAAGGACTCATCCTGAGTGGGTGGTGGAGGAGAGGCACTGTGATTATGCAGGGACACCCAGGCCCAGAATGGAGGTGGACATCAGAAGAAGAGGAGAATAGGCAGAGCTCTGGGGACTCAAAGGAGAAAGGGATTTAGCTGGAGAAAGAATCAGGAAATGCTTCAGGAACAGGCAGAATTGGTGAATAGGTAGAGAGGAATGCAGCAGACATTTAGAGAAAGGGTAGTGGGGGGTAGCTGGGGGTTGGAGAGAACATTCCAGGCTAAGGAAAATTATTGAGCAAATATATACAGAGGGGAGAGCTTACTACATATTAAAAGAACTACAGGAGTCCTGACTGACACATGAGGCGGTGGGGAGGCAGGGGGAAGCCATATTGTCATGTACCTTTCATGACATAAAATCTGTTTCTAGCTCAGTAGGTAAAGGCCAGCAATGAGGAATATTCTTGAAGCAACAGAGTGCTATTAATATCATAATAAATATTAACAAAATTCTCTAGCAGCTCAGTTAAGAGTTGGAGAGGGGCATATGGATAGAAGACCACCTAAGCCGCCATCAACAAGGTTCTGCAAGAAGTGAGTGATGGTACGTTTGGAAAGGAAGAGACAGGTATGGATAGAGAAGTGGGAGAATTAGGAAAAACCTCCTCACAATAGCATAGTCAGTAGGTTTTGGGAAAGGAGGAAATCCTTTGGAATCATTGCTATGTGAAAGTTAGGGATGCTGAAGACTAAGAAATAACTTTGATCTCCAGATTGGAGTTCCGCTGCCTTCAAAAGTTCAGTTCCAAAGGGGAGCAACAAAAGATAAATTGAACACAATTGGGGGTGAGTAGCTGGGAAAGAAACATAAGCAGCAGGTGGCATAGAAAAATCATATACCAATGCCCTACTGTACTCCAAGGGGAAAGTCAAGGCTTATTTTTTCTAGGTGAACATTGTCTTACTGCTTTACTACTCATATTATTTTTTCTAAATCAGGAAGTTGCTGTATGCATTTTTATGGATTTCCAAATATTTGTTGAAGTATTTTGTGAAATTTTTCAATTTTTAAGAAATACTGGATTAAAATGAGTTTTTTTATTTTTCTGTATAAGAATCTTAGAGGGAAGCTGATGACCAGCTGTTGATTCCTGGTCACTTGGAAATTAGGTTGGAGGTGAGGTCCTTCTGCACATGACTCAGGGCTCTATGACTATTGGTTACGGAGGGGAGAAACCCTCTAATAGCTGCATGTTGCCATCCTCTGCTTCAACAGCAGAAGCCATTGCTGTTTTCAAGAAATGCCCACTTGAGCAAGCTTCTGGCAGGTGAAAGTCATGCTCTCTAGGCTAATTTATTGGCCATACAGAGCAGCAATTCCATTTTTTAACTTCAGGTAGGCAGTGAATTGTTATGTCCATTGCAAAGCAGGGAGGAGGGAGGTAAGTGCTTATTGTAGAAATGAGATATGAGCAGGCTGTGAGGAGATGAGCTGCTCCACCCTCTTCTCCAATGTCAAGACACTTGAAGGGAAGTGAAGAAGGATTTTCCAAGGCTTCAATTCTTTCCAAACAAACAGAAAAGCTATAATTCCAATATTCTTTAGCTATTTCAACTTGAAATTATTTCTCTATAGTCACTTCTCTCCCTCCACACAGGTTGGTTTCTGTATTATGTTAAGCAGAGCAGTTGAAATGCTGTACTCTCCAGCATCTGATGGTGACTGCTGCTTCCACCCTCATGGAGCACAGAATGGCTACTCGACTCTATGATCTAATACTGGAAGTCAGGAGTTATGTTTATTCATTCAAAAAACAATCATGGAGGGTCTACCATGCTCTTGATAAACAAAACAAAGCAAATTGAACAACCATGATCCCTGCCCTCACAGCTTTCAGGGTCAAATGGTGATGTCATGAATCACCCAAAATGGGTCTTCTTTCTCTTTTCCAGTGTTCATTTAACAGACATTCTCATGGACTCTGTTTTAAAATTTGAAGCCAAAGATGGAACATGTAGGTGGACTAAGTAACACTGGTGAAGAAGGGGTAGTAGATAATGGGAATGCACTAGTGGGTGATGCTGGGAATAGTAATGCCTTTCATCTTTTGTCACCTAAGCTTTTATGCCATCTGACCCTCCACAAGCCTTATGAGATCACCAGGGCAGTTATTATAATCCCCATTTTACAGAGTAGAAAACTGAAGCTCAGTTGCTCACTGTCTCACAGCTAGCACAGCAGAATCAGAACGAGAATGAAGACCCCCTGAATCTTGATGTTTCCATCCCACTAGGCCAAAATAATGAAGGCAATATTTTTTGGTAAATTGGCATGCATGAAGTGAAACAAATAATCCATAAAGCTAGGTAGCATTATTTTTATGGTTAGGTAAAAAATAATCCACTGAATATTAATAACATAATTAGAATGCTATCAACAGTCATCCAATCTATTCAAAAATTTCAATAATACTTCATGAGTGCTTGTTACATGCAAGATGCTTAGTCATGAAGGACATAGTGGTGAGTAACAAAACATGGTGCCAGCCCTCTTAGATAGAATCCTGAAGGTGGAAGTTTCTTTGTATCATGCTGTGATATTGTGATATAAAAGGAAACATATATTTTTGTCTTTGTCCAAGGTTCCTGGCTCACAGCTCCTGAAATCCTTGTAATTTCCTAAATGATTAGAGTGATAGGAGTAATAGGAGTATCTTTTGTGAAAATATTTTGTCTTTTGTTCTAGGTTTTTTAAACAGCTTACAGCAGTTACACAGCAAGAAAGATGAACATATCTTCTCTTACTCATTGCAAGCCCCTTTCAGTCAGAAGATTTTTGGAAAGCCCCTAGATAACTGCAAGATGAGGCGCTGGTTGCCAGGGTGAGCCAAATGTGAGATTAAAGGGTTAAAACTTTCGGTCCCCCAACTCTGACCTCAAAGGAAAAGAAAGGAACTGAAGGTTGGGTTGATCACCAGTGGTCAATCATGTAATCAATCATACCTGAATGATGAATCCTCCAAAAAAACATAAAAGAACAGAGTTTGGATTGCTTCCAGGTTCCTGAATACAAGCATGGGCCAGGAGGGTGGCACATCTCAACTTGCAGGGGGACAGAAGCTCCTGCATTTAGGGCCCTTCTAAACCTCCCTCTATGTAACTCTTTATCTGGCTGTTCATCATGTCCTTTAGAATCCTCCCCTTCTCTCTCTCCAACTCTGGTACTAAATGATACATGGACTCTGTTGGTTTCTAACAGCTTATTTACCCGACATAAAAAGTGAAAAACAGAAAAGCAGGGGCAAAACATAAGAGCTGATCCATTTTTAGGATAAAATTATTGGTGAGCTCTTCAAGGCTCAATTTATAAAAATGATAAAATTGAGTCTAACATTTTTGGGTAACACATAAAAGCTAGAATCAAATTGTATAAAAACCACAGATGTTGTGTGCTGATGCCTGGCTTTGAATTCCAGCTATGCCACTTATCAGCTGTGGGGCTTTGGCAAGCTATTTAACTTCTTTGTGCCTCAGTTTCCTCATCTGTCAAATGTGGAGGAAGATATTATGAGGATCAGATGTCATTTTATGAGTAAAATGTTTAAAATAATACCTTGCACAAAATAGGTTCTAGATAAGTTACCTATTAATACAAATATTATCTACTGAAAAGAGATTTGCCAGACAATACACTCAGAGTTGTAACAAAGTATAAAAATAACGTCGTTACCAATTCCTACAAAAATCGATGCCATCCTTTTCTCCCCTCTGTCAGTTGAAGACCCGGCAAGGATGTAAGACACATCCATCTTGCCATCTCTAGGGTGGAAGTACCCTGGCAGACAGTATAATTAAAAGCAAACTCAGAGAAAGGAACAGAAAAGCTCCTACCATAAAATGGCTAACTCTAAGTATATGCAAATGTTTGATCAGCTGGTGGCTCAATCTTAAGGATGCCCTGAAAAGCTATCAAATACCTCTCTCACTGAAGATGACAAAAGTAAGTATTCCCATAGTCTTTAACTAAGAATAGCTCTGCATGAAAGATGAGCATTAAAATAATAATCAGAACTACCATCGGTCATTTTCATGAAATATTCCAAGGATGCTACGATGATTTCTTGCAAAGACTAGAATATACAAAGAATGAAAGAGCTGGCAGCAACTCCAGTGATCATTTTGCCCAATACTTTAATGATGTAAACTAGAAAACTGAGGTCAAAATGTTACTAAGGGAAAGCCCAATCTCTCACAAGAAAATCACAGCCCATCTAGCCCAGCTCTTTGAATTTCCCACTCCATGCACCCAGTGATAATCTCTCTGTATCATGCAGGCTGTTGGGAAATAATAACAATGATAGTGATATAATAACAACAACAAACACCTATAACACATTTCTACATATTTTATTAAAATAGAAAACCTTTATTGAAATTGTAAATGACAGAAGAAAAGTACATTATGCACAGAAAAAAAAAGTCCCCTCTTTTACAATATGGCCCTGGGCTACCCAAGATTGGCACTGCTCTTAAGCTAGCCTTTCCTTCCTGGTTTCCTCCTTCTTCACTCATAAGTCCCATCACATGTCTATGTCCACATGCTATACAATGAGCTTCTCCTCCCTTTCCATCAGACCTCACTGCCCTCCGATCTAGTGCTCCAAAGTCTTACTGGAAATTCGTCATAAGCAACACCGAAGAACTAAGGATAAATATGCTGTCAGATACTACCTCCTCTTCCCATGTCTGCATTTAACAGGGACCTGCTTTTTCTTTACTCAAAAGTAACTAATGTAGTCATTTTGGACAGACTGAGAGATCTTTTAAGCCAGAAGCTTTTAAAATTCCAGTATATTGTCATTATCTTCTCTGCTTAAGTGAGGCTGGTACTACTTCCTAGCCCAAATTCACAAATCTTTATGGTGGTGATAAGAAAACGATTATAAACAATTGGCGATGTGCATACAACTGTGAGTTATCAGAATCAGGACAAAGGACGACAAAGAATCTACAAGCATCTTGATAGACAGGGCCAATTGAAGGTGCATTAGAGAACCTCAGCAATGGAGAGTTCCACCCAAGGTCAGACCTTTACTGTCCCAGATAATATTTACAGGTTCAAAGGAAATATCAATGACTTATCTCTCAAGAAAGACTTACAGTGGGCAGGCCAGACCCCTGATGGGTGTGAAATCATTTTTTTGCATCGAAGATTTTCATTAGGTATTGTAGAAAAATTCAGTATGCTAGATTTTGAAAAACTGAGTACAGAGCATCCTTTTCAGGAAAAACAATTTAGAATGCTTCCTTTCCCAATTTTGACTTACATGGCTTTTACTGTAATGATACTTAAATACATACAAACATAAAAATTCTTATAGTTTCAGCTCCTCTAAAATCATCAAATGCCAACTAAAAGTTTTAACCAAATACCCACAAAAGTGTAACACCAATTCCGTTCAAATGAACATTTACTTAATATTCAGATGATGATGTTTTCCTAAAAGTAACCCTCCATTTTCATTATGGCTATGATATTGAAAACCTCAACACAGGTGTCTTGGGATTCAGAATGCTCCCACTACCTGCCGTGCAGTAGGGTCTGTCTCACCTTTTTTTTTTTTTTTTTTTTTTGAGATAGAGTCTCACTCTGTCACCCAGGCTAGAGAGCAGTGGCGTGAGCTCACTGCAGCCTCTGCCTCCCGGGTTCAAGCAATTCTCCTGCCTCAGCCTCCTGAGTAGCTGGGACTACAGGCACTCACCTCCATGCCTGGCTAATTTTTGTATTTTTAGTAACGATGGGGTTTCACCATGTTGGGCAGGATGTTCTTGATCTCCTAACCTCATGATCTGCCCATCTCAGCCTCCCAAAGTGCTGGGATTACAGGTGTGAGCCACTGTGCCCAGCCACATTTCTTTATCCACAGCAAAACTAAACATACTGGACCAGTGTGCCATGCAGTCATATAGCCTTCACTTGAGGCAAATTACATAAGTCCATTGTTCATTCCCATAAGCCCACAGCTACTAAAATAGCATTGGACAAACTGGATTGCAAATATAAAACACAAATTCCGGCACCAAAACCATGCAGCAGTATTATTCATTATAAAGCGGGCCCCACAAATGCCTTTACAAATCCCACTTTGACAAGGAATGGTGGGCTGTGGTGACAAAGAGATCATTGGTGAGTCTGGGCTTCCCACTTATTACCAGTATAATTATAGGAGAGTAACTCAACCTTCCTGATCCTCAGTTTCCTCATCTAAAGAACAGCAGGATGAAAACAGAACTTACCTCACAGGTTTGTCGAGAGGACAATATGTGATAACATGTGGGGTCTTTAGCCAGTGCTTGGTGCTTAATAGGTCCTCAATAAATATCCACAATTATTCCTGTTCAGTTGCTTTGTATCCAAGTTCCACAAAAGAAGAAAGAATGCACTATCTTACCAAAACATAAGCATTTCAAAATAATTTGAGTTTCAGACAGAAGAAGCATTTAATACATCTGCCTATAAAAAATTCAGACACTGCTCTCAGTCATATCTGGTGCTTTGTTATGTCACAGAGATGTGGTACTAGGTCACATTCTGGAAAAAAGAAACCTATTCACCCACGCAAAATGAAACTAGACAAACTTATCATGTAGAGTTACTTGTTTTTTTTTTTGAGACGGAGTCTTCGATCTGTCACCCAGGCTGGAGTGCAGGGGCACGATCTCAGCTCACTGCAAGCTCTGCCTCCTGGGTTCACGCCATTCTCTTGCCTCAGGCTCCTGAGTAGCTGAGATTACAGGCACCCATCACCACACCCGGCTAATTTTTTGTTTTAGTAGAGACAGGGTTTCACTGTGTTAGCCAGGATGGTCTGGATCTCCTGACCTCGTGATACGCCCGCCTCGGCCTCCCAAAGTGCTGGGATTACAGGCGTGAGCCACTGCGCCCGGCCACTTGTTTTTATAGTTAATAATTGTGTGAAGAGAACAAAGGCTTTAAAGACATTTGAAGGTGTTGATATCTTCAAGTTCGTGTTTCCGAATTATTTAGAATAAATATGATGGATAGTCAGTTCATTTTACCACTGACTGAGTGCCCGCCATATGCAAGCCATAGTGATGAGTGTAGCAGGGGCCATGGCGATGAATGAGTAGGTGCAGTCTTCACCCTGGGGGCACTTATTGTCTACAGGGAGGTGTAGATAAACAAGTAAGAAACTTAAAGTCTACTGAACTCTAATTTCCCTAAAGATGGGGATTATGTCTTACTGGTTTTTATACCCTAGTGGTCAGCACACCTGATTCATAGTAGAGGTAAATGAATTAATGAAATATATGAGTGAATAAGATATATAGGTTATCTATGGATGTGCCATAAATGCAGGTTCAACAAAGAGTGATAGCTCTTTTGAGGGCTCAGGAATTGAAGAAATACAAAAGAGATGGAATTTGAAGAAAGTCTTGAATTTCAAGAAATAGAGATGGGAGAAAATCCAATTATAATTTTATATAGTTGCAGTGTTCTCTAAATTGGTTCTCATTAGTAAAATAATTCTTACTCTGATTATTATTATATCTCACATTTCTATAACTCTTCATATCTGAAAATTGTATGCATTTGCTTCTTAGTTTGTTATTTGTTACAAAGACTTTTGATTTATTTATAAACAACTTGGTGGTTCATTATTTATTAGAATAGGAAGCTGAAGAAGTAATATCTGGTCTCTGGCAGCTGTGTCTCAATTATTACTATTGGCCTCCTGGGGTTCTCTAATAAGTAGCCATAAAAAGTCAATTTGCAACTAGGAAAAAAATGCATATATTTGGCAGCATTTACATTGCCATGATTGACAATAGATACGAATGACAGAAACCCTACAATTTGAGAATAACTTCATCTCGATATTAGCATAAACCAACCCTAGGATAAAGAAAGAGGTATAGGAATGGTGTGTTTAAGCAATGATTAGGATATTATAAAGGCTGCATGTAAATATCTCAATAGGAAAAAATCTAAAAGCAAGAAGAGGCATAATTTTGATACTTTGGAAAATCACTCAAAGGACTGGCTGATCCAAAAAGGAATAATAAAAACTGAGTAAAAAACACTTGGGGAAAAAACTGTTATCTTAAAGATAAGCTCTCACTAAACTAGATTATGAACCATTTCTAGATAAAGAACCACTTCTAGATAAAGAACCAAGGTTAGATGCTCATCAACTGACCTCAAATTACTAATACATTTTTTAATATTAAAAATAATATTAATTTAATATTAAAGGATATTAAATTTAATATGCTTTAGCTATGTGTATATATTCTGCCATCTGAATACCAGTCCCCTTTTTTGGAAAAGGAATAATATCTCTTTGTTTTCAAGCCCTAGGATCATTGAGAGAGGTGAGAGAAGAAGAATGAAAACAGGCTAAAGGTAAAGTCCCTAAACAGTGAAAGGGAGGATTCTGCCATGATCTGGGATTGTGTTTTTGGAAATGGGGCAGGAGTGCTGTTGTGGTCTGTTGGGAAATCCACCATGTCAGGCTCCCAGATAAATGGAAATGGGTCCCAAACACCAGTTAGGTAAAGGTCTCTAACCTGCATTATTATTTGGATTTTCTTTCCTAAAAGATATGCCCTTGAAAGTTATACTGTCATAAAATTACCTAGGATTAGTTTTCATGAATATCCATTAAGATATTTCTAGTTTTACTCAGATAAAATAACCTTCTCATAGTATCACACCTTGGCTTGAACTGTAAGCCAATAGCCAGGAGAGGTTGTGAGGACATCATAATGGTTGAGCAAAGAGGAAGAGGCTAAATGAAGGGTAAAAAGCACCAAAAGCATGGCATATGTTTAATCTTTATCACCCAAGACAAAAGTCTTTTGATAAATAGTCATCTTTGTATAAGCATAAGATTTTAAAGGTTATTTTAAGGAACAAAACTGAAAGCATTATGAGGAGCTGCCACATTTGGGCATTCTACTTTTGGAGACCCTAAAGGTCATTCCATGAATCATACATGGTCATTCCCTTCAGTGCTTGCCATATGGCTTCCTGGGAGCTGTCTGGTAGGAAGGAGCACAGGGGAAACCGCTCACCTAGATTTCCCCACAAGCACACTGTGGACTGCCCCATGTCCCATGTAAGCTATCGAAAATTACACTAGAACATAAGTGATCCCATCTAGAGACATTCTAAGTTTCTTAATGTCCTTAGTTTCCACTTTAATTATCTCAGCAGTTTTCACACAGCCTGAAGGAAGTAGTTGTTGGCTCGATGAAGGTAATTTAGATCCAGAGGAGCCACAGGAAGCTCTTCAGGTTTACCATTCCATCTCACCTCCACCTGGAGCTGACCCTTCCAAATCAGTCTGCATACACGTAGGGGCTATGATAGCCCTCTTAACCTTCCAGAACAACAGACACTGAACCTCCCAGTGTGATTACAAACAGAATGGGAAGGAAATCTCCTCTCCCCACCCATGATATCTCAGGAGGCTGAAACCAAACCAGCATCCAGGGTGCAAGCCAAGAATCCCCACAGTGTTCATGTGTTGTGGCACTTAGACACAAGGTCAGAAGGTCAGCCTTTGAAAATCTGACTGAGTAAGTAATTCAACTCAGAGCATCACCTAAATGTCACCTTGTCAAATTTTTTTTGTTTACCTTGTCAAATTTTGAAGTGTAATGGGCAGAACAGAAGTCACCAAGAGACAGAGAAATAAGAAAATAAAAGCTACCAAAAAAACACATTTTGTGATATGCCAGTTGCTAAATATCTTTCCTGACCAAAATGTGACACTTTTTAAAATAAATAGTTGCTTGTATGTCATAAAAGATCAAATAAATATTAATGCCCACAGCAGGACAAAAGTAACCTATTCACGAATTATTAGTTTTCACTTGTCAAGGCTAAGAAATTTTGCTGTTGAGCAAATAAAATTTTGTTTGAACCACCATTAATTTATCTGAATTTACATTGCTATTTCAAAATTCAGGTGCTGATATCTGTAATCAAATAAATAATTTCTTTCTTGATAAATTATTAAACCTCATAAGAGAAGTATAAACTGAGCATTGATTTGTCTTGGCCAGATACTGGACTTTTAGCTTTAACAGTTACAGAAGTCAAAATAAATAATCAATTAAATTAATCTAGCCTGACTTTCAGACAAATTTATGGGGGAAAATAATTCAAATTGGCTGTTTACCTCAATAAATTGGTCAATATAATCAAAATACTATAATTGATATGGTAGCCTAATAGTAAATGTAGAGCCTTTTTTTCTTTGAAAAGACTAATTTGAATAGTCATCAAATTAGAAAAATGACCACTTAAGTGATTTTTAAGAAGATTCCAACGGTTATCTTAGTGATTTATTCAAAATGGTTTTCTCTGCGTCGTGTCTCATTGAGTAGGTGAACAAAGACCTGCCTGTCTGAAGCTTGCCCAAAAGCAGAAGGGGAGCTGGTCAAAACCAGCTAAAGCAACAACAGAACTAATGCAAATAAGTGCCCATATTTGCTGTCAATATCTTCCAGGATAACTTTTCAGGATTTATAAACTGTTTTTGCTGAATTGAGAAGCCAGAAGAAGCAAACTGAAGCAGTTCTCACATAAGCAGAGTTTGTTCTATTCTACTTAGCATAAGTCCGCGTTAGCAGATCAGCAGGCTGTGATGACAGCTGTCAGCAGTCAGGTCTCACTGAGGCTGCTGTATCCATGGGCCAGGCCACTGATAACGGAAACATCAGGAGAGAAGCCATCCACAGAAATCAACTTTCCTACAAACACTCATGTATGCTGAATCTACCAGATCCCCACCCACTCATCTTCAACTCCCTAAAAGAAAGCCTAACTTCCTTGAACCAATTGTTAGGCATGAATATTTCCAGGGTAGGGGCTATCTCTGGAAAGCACTAACACCATCAAGCCCTTATCTTCACCAAAAAGAGTGCTTACAAGAAGGACAGAGGTGACATCTGTATTCTCCTGCATTGCTTGTGGGAAAGTTCATTAGTATAACCCGCTAAAAAAACAATTAAAAGCAATGTCAGTATACAGAGAAAGCTTTAAGAAGGTCTATCTGTTTGAGCCAATAGTCCCACTTCTAACAATCTGTCCTAAGAAAATAATCCAAAACATAGAAAAAAATTGTGCTCAAAGATGTTTATCAAGGTAGTATATATGATATCTTAAATAATTGGGAACAATCTGAATGTTCAACAATAGAGGAAAGCGTAAATGAATTACGATAAAATTATGCGTGGAAATGCTATGCAGCTAATGAGAAAAATATTCAAAAAGATTATTGGCTTCATATGAAAGTTATTTTAAATTTTCAGTGAAATGCACAGAATGCAAAATTCTGTACACAGTTATAATTCCATTTCTATAAAAATATGCATATAAAAAGTGAAAAGTACATCAATATGTTTATAGTAATTGTCAATTGCTCATGGTAATATGTGTTATTTTAATTCTCTCTTTTTATACTTTCCTGTGTTTTCCAAAGTTTTTCTAGAAAGCACATATGTCCAAGAAAAAAAACAAAACATTAAAACTTCAGGGCAGAGGGTCCCTGTTTTCCTGCTGAGTGGACATGCCTCAGCAGACAGTGGAAAATATTTCTAGCCTTCATGAGCAGACTCCATGTTCTGCCTGTCACTCACGCTTGATGTAAACCCTGATGATGACTCCTTCTTGCACTCCACATCATGCCTATCCTTTCCTCAACCTTGGCTTTGACTTTCACCCTTCTCTGTTTATACTAAAACACCCCTCTGGCAGTACCTCTTCTCTTCAAACCACAGTCTCCTTCCCCCTTCACCAGCTGGACCCAGTTCCATGTCCTGATCAGCTCTGGCCTGACCTGACCCACATTGGTACTGACAACAAATAAGTTACCCCCCCAAAAAACAAGCTATTTGTACCAAAGAACAGGGCAAGGAAATACAACATTCTTAATGCATTATATAAATGTATTTTATATGCATTGGACATCTTTCTTCTCACAGCCATGGTACTATACCAGGCCCACCTATAATTGATTTCTTGTTATTAGTAGGTCCCTATTGTGACAATCATCCTCAACATCTGTGCAGAGCATTCCATTTTTCTGTGCACATTCACAAACTCATAGTACATCACCCTCACACCTTTGTAAAGTGGGGAGATAAGGTATTATTTTCCTAATTGTACAGATAAGAAAACTGCAACTCAGAGAACCGGCACTGAGTGGCTTATTCCCCCTGATCCTCAGGGTGTGCTTTTCTGTAAATAGTGATGATAATACCCACCTTGTGGAGTTGTTGTAAGGATTAAATGAGATAACGTATGTAGCATGCTGAGCAAAGCATCTGGAACAGGGGCAGCATTCAACAAATGCCAGTTCCTATGACTGTTAGGTCAATGGGAAGCTCAAGGTCACATAGCAGGGAAATGACAGCACCAGGATTGAGATCCAGGCTTTTTCATGCCAAGTCCATGTTCTTTATACTTCATTCCCAACACTGTATGAGAAGTACTAAGGCATGGCCCGAGTCTTCAGAGAAATTATAATATTTTGGAACAGGCAAATCTCAGTTACATGATATAATAAAGCAATTATTCCCACAAAGAACTAAGAAACAGTGATAAAATCTAGGACCGTGTTCTAAAATAATACATTTTTTTGGTCCAATAGCTACCATTACAATGTCTTTTTATGCATACATTCCAAAGCTTAGGATTCCAAAATTTTATCCCTTGTCTTGCAGTAAGTTGAATATAGAAGATCAGATATGAAAATAAGGCTGTTTCCATCCATACTATAAAAAATATTTTCTGTGGGCATTCTGAACTGCAGGGAGTTTGAATTGTATTTGGAAGCATTTCTTTAACTTCTGGAAAGTACCATTCATGGTCACTCACTTTATCATTTTTAAGGGATTTTTGAAGTTTCCATTGAGTTTAAAGCTGCTTCCATCTTTAAAAATATTCCTCAACTAATTAATTTAACTTACAATATATGACACCTAGAGTTGGTAACAAGTGAAAAGACACAAGAACAGTGAACACTTTACAGGCAGAGGCAGAAAATTCTTCAGGAAGACAAAGCACATATCTGTGCACAGACACACACAGAACAGAAAATCATTCTGTCCCCTCTCTATTCTATGCCATAATAATAGAATCCAGTATGACCAACCTTGGCAATACTATTTCTTTATTTACAGCAACATTGGCCTCCTTATAAGCTGGCAAAAGAAGAATTGAAAACTCTGTGTTGTGGAATGTTGACGCTTCTTTATCTCTAAGAAGGTAACCTATTAATGAATACTTCAGAGATGCACATTTTGGAAGTTATTTAATGTGCTGTGTGTTTTTATACTACCAACATACACTTCTTTCTTAGATAAATAGATGATACTCAACTAAGAGGTGGCCCCTATCAAAGCTATGAAGTAGGAAACTTTGTCTTCAGAAACACTCTACCTTTCCCTTTCTACATGTCGTTTACCCTGGCGGCAAAGGGTGGGACCTCCATTTCCTGAGCACCTTCACTGAGACGGACTTGTATGTGGTGCCTGGTTTATAGTACTGCTTCAATCCTCACAATAATCTCACAATATGTGCATTAATTGCCCCAGTTTCTCAGACATGAGGAAACTCTCATAGAGTTAAAGCAACATGTCTAAAGAAAAGAAACTGGTAAGTGACCATGGAGATTCCTCTACTTTAGTGCCCAGGCAGGCAGGGTTCCCCTTCCAGGACCATGCTTCCCCAACCTCAGGCACTCCCATTAGCTCTGTAAAATGGATCAGTTCACACCAAACTATTAAGGAGAAGCCACCATTTGTGTTAATCCTCTTTGAAGTATTTCTATCCTCTAAGTGACCAGACAGGTACGACCTTAACCCAAACCAATGGTTCTAGTAGCAGAGAATTTGAGAAAGCAAACAGCAAGACTTCAGAATGTCACACTCCCTAGAGAGCATCTAACCGACCTCTTGTTCCATGAATATACAGATTTAAAATAACAAAAGCCTGAGATGGGATGTGACTTTGCAAACATCACACAGCAAATCAGGTGTAGAGCCCAGTCAAAAGCCAGGACTCCTGACTCAGTCCAGTTCTCTTTTGTGGCATCAGCCAAAAATATCCAAACCTAGGGCAAAAAACACATTCCAGGATAAAAAAGAATTATTTTAATGCTATTAATTCACATTGGTAATTCAGAATGCTGGTCAGAGCCTGGGCTTCAATTCTAGGTGCACGTCTTACAAACTGTGTGACCCACGCAAGATATCCTCTCTTTGCCTTGGTTTTCTTGTCAGTCATCTGAGAATAACAACAGTGCCTGCCTCATAAGGTTAGTGGGAAGATCAGATGTGATAAACCAGGTACAGTTCTAACTTCCTTGTGTTCAGTATGTAGTAAGCACTGAATAAATGTTAGATATTATCATTATCATTATTATCACTGTTACCACTAGTAGTAGTTCAAATAACTGAGTTCATACTACCACTTTTGGGGATAAAGGTAGAAACAACTTCCTGCTATTAAGTTTGTCTCTCCTTCTTCTCTAAAAGCAACCTTACACAGTCTCAGAAATGAAGAGAAGTAAGATCAGTAGAAGGTTAGCACCAGAAATGAAGAAATTACATTTGAAAATAAAAGTGCCTACTGAACATTTTCATTTGGTTGTTCAAAATAAAAATTCTCCATCTTTCTCAAGTCTCCTCTTATTTACTCCCTCAGTTAAAAGCCTGACCATCCTCTAGACATCTAAGCTTCTCCTTCCATACCACCATCCACTTGGTGACCAATGCTACCGATCCTCCCCCTGAAATGGCTCTGTATAGATCTCTTCTCTTTCCTCCAGGCCATCTGGTTCAGGCACATTTCATAAGTTTTCTGGTTTTTGTTTTGTTTTGGTCTGTGCCACTCCAATGGTCTAAAGTCTCCTCATTCCTTTTTGCAACCCCACCTCCTCACACCTCCACAGTCACTTTTGCAAAATGTAAGTTAGATGAAATCATTCCTACCATTAAGGGCCACATGGTTTCTCCTCCTTAGCAGGGTATATTCACAATCCAGCTTCAGTGAAACCTTTCTAAACATTCCTGTCTTCCCTCAGAACATGTAGGTGTCCTCTGAATGTGACCTTTCTGCCATGTGTGTATGCTGTTCCTTCAGTGTGGAATACCCAGCCCCTTCTCTAGACAACTCCTACCACCTATTGGGATCCAGACCAAATGTAAACTCTTCTTTAAACTCTTCCAGATTCCCTCCACTCTTTCTTCTGTTGGCTCCCATTAAACTTGTTTCTGTCTTCATTAAACACTCATGATGTTGAATCATTACCATTTATTTTCTTCTCCTTTTCTGCTAAATTGATTTCTGGGAGGCATGGGCCTCATTCTTTTAGCCTCTGGCACAGGACCTACAAAGCACACAGGAGGTGCTCAACAAATAATTATTGAATTGATCGAGTGGATGCTACAGAACGTAAAATAGGAAAATGAGACCTCGGTGATTGTCAATGTTAGTCTCAATAAAAAGAATTTGTGATATGTATGACTGTCTGCAAATGATTACACAAGTGGTTTTTAACACCGTGATGTGCACTTACAAATGAGAAAGCTCTCGAGTTCCCACTTCTGTCTGTTACACGTTCATCACTGGAGAAAGAGTCATGCCCTCCCAAATTTAGGTGAGTTCTGGAGGACCTGCACACACTAAGCATTTTGAGAGCTCTCAGAATCATGTAGCTTTAGATGAGAACACTTTTCCCTCACAAAATTCTATGGACTGGACTCAGGTAGTAGATGCTCAGTAAATGCTGATTTGATTTGCAGTGGATTTGAATGCAAAGTGCAACTCACATTTTAGACTAATTGAACTCAATGGCTGATCATACTTAATATAATAGCTCTAAGGCTAAAGAAAATCAATGACTACACTGAAAAGCAGCCAAATGCTCACTCTCCTGCCTAGTTGACAGTCAATGCTGACCTGCCTCTTGATCCTTTCCAGCTTTTGGGTATTTCCAACTTCACTGTGCCCCCAGAATGCAGAGGCCGGTTAGCAAGTGTTGCGTGGTACCTTGTGGTACATTTGTTCTTCGTTTTGAAGTGATGTAATAAAGGATAACAAAGGTGTGAAACTTGAGTTGCACTGTTAAAGTTGTCCTACATTTCCTAAAGCCTCCCCTCTGCATGATAAGTTGAGTGAAATTCTGGCTGAAGGGAGAGAGAAGTGTGAGCTGGAATGCTGTGACATCCCTTCATCTCCAATTGTGGAAAACTGTGGGAATGCATATTAAAGGAACCCCAGAAACTTTTGTTTTTACTAAACTGAGACTTAAAAAAACTTCATTTGGCAGTTGAACACCTCTATCCCATTGTAAGAAACAGGAAAGATTCAAAGCATGCATTCTGCTATAATTCATTTTGGGATAAGAAATAGGCAGAAGTACCTCGAAGAATAAATCATTAACTAAAAGGCAAACCGAGGCACCCTGGAAACCAGCGAGACCTGGAGGCGGCCGAGGGATCAGGCGGCTGGGATTTGCCTGTTCCCTCTGGTGACTTCTGGAGCGAAGCATCCCACAGGCAGGACGAACCCGGCACACTGCGCTCCGCTCCATTTCACTTTTCAAACTTGAAGTTATTTTTAGATGACCCAAGGCCGCTAATCCCAAGCAGGACAATTCTCAGCCCGCTGCACCTCAGTGCACCTACCCCCTCCCCAGCCTCTGCATTGGGAAGAAGGGATCTCTCGATCTTCTTTGCTCTCTGCATCCAGTTAGTCTCTTCTAGACCCTCTCTAAGCCTCAGTCCCGGGGATCACAGGCGTCATCCTCGCTCCTTCACTTATGCACCTGCTGCTGCTTCCAGGAAGGCAAACCCCCGGGCCACGGGCAGTGGGGAAGGGGCTCCTTTGGACCCGCGCCCCCTAGAGGGGGGTCGCGGGAGATCTCCGTCCCCACGGCCGCAGCCGGGACTGACCACAGATCTGGAGACAAACCCCACCCCCGCCACTGCCCCCACCCCCGCCACCGCCCCCGCCCCCGCCCCCGCCCCCGCCCTGCACCCAGACCCGGCCCGGAGACCAGATCCCCGCCGCGGACCCCCGGCACGACCCCGGGGCTGCTGTCAGCCCCGGCGGGACGGGGTGCCTGGGCGAGCCTGGCCGGCGCGGTTACATAACCGACCTGCTGGGCGTCCGCGATGCGCCGGCGGAGGCGGAGGCGGAGGCGGCGGCTGGGGCGTCTACGGGGGCCAGCTGCTAGCGCGCGGCGCTGCCTGCTCACCTGCCCGCCGGTGCGAGCGCGTGGGGGCGGCGCGGTGCCCGCGGGCCTTTGCGTGGGGCCGTACGCGGCGCGGCGCGCCCCGCCTCCCTCTCTCTGCCGCCGTGGGTCAGTGGGATTCTGCCTGCTGCCCGCTCCTCCCCGCAACCTCCGCCGCCGTCACCCGGGACAAAGCGGCTCCAGGGAGGGGCTGAGCCGGCGGCTCTCGCAGGAGCCGGCGGAGATGGGCGCGTCCCCAGCTCCGACTCATCGGGCCAACCTCCAATCAGACCCAGGGAAACCGAAAGCCCCTGTCTGGCCTCTTCTCATCTCCTCCCTCCTGACCCGGCGCCCTCCCCAGTCCCCTACCCACCGCACCTCCGGGGCTCTCACCCTGCCCTCAGCCCCGCACCCCCTCCTTTCCACTTCAGGTGCCCGGGAGGGCGCAGGAGCCTCCGGGCACCTGGCGTGGGAGCCTGGCTGCAGGAGTCCCGGCCTCAGCGGGAAGAGGCTCCTCGGGGTCCCATACTAAGCTGAGGGTGAGGGGGCAGCGACAGCCCAGAAGAAATGGTCAGAGAAGCAAACTGTGGTGGGGGAGTACTGGGAGAAAGACTCTTCTTACCAGATGTCTGAGCCCCCCGACTCTGGCTAACTGAGGAAATGTCGGGGAGCCCCTGGATGGTCCTCCCGGGCTTCTGCGCTTGGTGGGCGCTGGCGCCCTCTGGCTGGAGCCCTGCGCCCGGCCCAGCCCAGGCCGCTGAGGGTGCCCTGCGCGGGCTTCACAGCTTTGCCAGGATTTGCAGCCATCAGACCTGAGGACAGAAGGGTTCGGGCTGCAAGGAATCCTATTGTGTGAGAGCCATGACACAGTGAGTGGGAGGTTGGTATCCTACAGCAAACGGGACTGAAGGTGAATCGCAATCTAGGGTAGATCTGTTGCTCAACAAAGTTAACCCCAGTAGAAGTCTCTGCTTTACGGAATAAAGCAACTCAAATGGGTAAGGAAGCCTGTGGCTTACGGGTGGCACAGATAGGAACAGGACTGAGTCTCATGGCAAGAGAATGTGAATTATGCAAAAGATCATAGGAGAGTGCGGGAAATTAAAGGAAGGAGGTGTGCAGACCAATCTGAGGGAGGGAGTGAATAACATTTAAATCAGGTTTGTGTTCTGTCATCTTTCGAATTGCTGCATAAATAAGCCGTTTTCTTTTTGCTTTTTATGCCTTTTGATTTTCTGATAACAATATTACGATTGCACTGAAGCAGTCCATTCACAATCATTCTTCACTTACCCACACTACGTTGTTTTTTTCCAAAGTTGACATACAATCACGTTTTGTTTGTTTTCAACAAAAAAAGGTAGACGAGACGTTGGCTCTTCTCTCTGATTAATCTGCATTAACATAAACACAATTTCAGAATTGAAAATGACCTTAGGCTTCCCCTCGTTCAGCCTTCCCCTGGATGCATAAATCTGTAATTAGTCGTTGATTTAGATAATTGCCATTTGGGTTAGAATTGTCTGAAAGGGCATTCTTAAGTTGAGCAAAAACTTGCCTCCCTTTAATCATTAGTTCTCCCTTACTTTTTGAAGCCAAAGAAACCAAGTCAAATTCCTCTTCTAACTATCTTTAAAATATGTAAAAATAGCTAGCATGTCTAATGCACTCCAGGATCCCCTTTCTTTCCAAGTAAAGCATCCCCAACCCTTTAAACAAAATCTCACTTATTATTAGTGAGTACTTCCTAGAATCTTCGTCAAACTGATGACTTTCATCTTAACAGGGACTATTTATTATTTTGTGAATATACATTTACAAATAAAATTTTCAGCTTATAGAAGCAATATATTCATTGCAGAAATTTTGAAAAGTTGGAAAAACACAGGATTTAATCTGAGAACTAAATGAGGTAATACATGTAAAACACCTAAGCACAGTGCCTGGCACACAGTGATACTCAATATATGTTAGCTGTTACCAAAATCAACATAGCCATTTTCCTAACACCAAATATAGATATTGTTACTTTTCTAGATGCTGTTTCTGAGTTCTCATAGCCACATATTCCTCCTTCTACTGCTAAGAGAAATTCTGTGTTTGTCAGTTTGTGTGAAGAAGGAAGCATAATAAATGAGGAAAAAAATGAAAAGTGACAAACAGCCTCATGTTGTTTACCTTGAGAAGAACAAAATGTTACTAGCAAAACAAATGTTAATGGCAAGAAGAAAATACAGAGAGAAAAAGAGTTTATGGGATGGGGTCTGAGCTTGAAGAGGATTTTGGAGAGCAGGAGTGAGGCTAAAGGGTAGCTAATGTTAAGGATGGTGGTAAATAAGATCAGAATTTTGGTTTGCTAACATTTATTGAGCATTTAGTATATGCCACGCTCCAAGCCAATGAATTTTTATACATTAATTCATTTCACTTTCATGGCAACTCTATTAGATAGGTACTATAATTAACCTATAGTAAAGAAAGCACAGAAAGATTAAATAAATGACTTGCTGAAGCTAACAAGTGGAAAGCTGAATTCACACCTAGACAACCTGGCTTTGGAGTCCCCACTAGACTAGACTGCCTCTCAATGGTTGTATGTGACATTATAAATATAAACTTTTAGGTTCACAGGAAAGTTGAGCAGAAAGAACAGAAAACTCCCATATACTGCCTGCCCCCACATATGCATAGTCTCCCTGACTATCAAAGTCTGACACAGGAGTAATACAATGAATAAAGCTACATGAACACAACATTATCAACCAAAGTCCGTAGTTTACAGATCCACTCTTGGTGGTGTACTTTTTTGAGTTTAGACAAGTGTATAATGACCTATATCCACCATTATAGTTTCACACAGAATAGCTTCACTGCCTTAAAACTCCTCTGTGCTCTGCCTATTCATTCTATCCTCCCCACTAAGCTCTGGCAACCACTGAATTTCTAATTGTCCCCATAGTTTTGCCTTTTCCAGAATGTCATATAAGTGAATGTCATTTCAGATTGGCTTCTTTCACTTAATATGGATGTAAGTTTCCCTGTCTTTTCATGGCTCAAATAACTCATTTCTTTTTAGCACTGAATAATATTTCATTGTCTGGATATACCACAGTTTATTTGTTCATTCACCTGTTGGAGGACAACTTGATTGCTTCCAAGTTTTGACAATAAGTAAAAAGTTGCTCTAAGTATTCATGTGCAAGTTTTTGTGTGAATGTAAGCTTTCAACTTGTTTGGGTAAATATCAAAGAGTGTGATTGATAGATCATATAGTAGGTTTAATTTTGTAAGAAACTGACAAACTCTGCTGAAGGGGCTATACCATTTTGCATTGCCACCAGCAATGAATGAGACTTCCTGTTACTCCACATCCTCACCAGCATTTGGTGTTGACAGTGTTTGGGATTTCCACCATTCTAATTGGCATCTCATTATTTTGATTTGTAGCTGCCTATTGACATGATGTTGAGAATTTTTATATGCTTATTTGCCATTTGTCAAACTTATATGCTTAAAGCCATTTGCGGTGCCTTATTTGCCATCTTCTTTGGTGAGGCGTCAGTTCAGATCTTTTGCCCATTTTTTAATCAGATTATTTTCTTATGTTGCTTTTCTTGTTTTCTATTGGTAAGAGTTATTTTTGTATTTTGAATAAGAGTTCTTTATTAGATATGTCTTTTATAAATATTTTCTCCTACCTGGTACTTGTCTTCTCATTCTCTTGACAGTGTCTTTCGCAGAGCAGTTTTTAGTTATTTACTTATTATTTTTTTGAGGTGGAATCTCGCTTTGTCACCCAGGCTGGAGTGCAGTGGCATGATCTTGGCTCACTGCAACCTCCGCCTTCTGGGTTCAAGCAATTCTTCTGCCTCAGCCTCCCAAGTAGCTGGGACTACAGGCACGCACCACTGCGCCTGGCTAATTTTTGTATTTTTAGTAGAGACAATGTTCCACCATATTGGCAAGGCTGGTCTTGAACTCCTGACCTCGTGGTTCACCCGCCTCAGCCTCCCAAAGTGCTGGGATTACAGGCGTGAGCCACTGTGCCCCACCTGTTTTTATTTTTAATAAAGTCCAGCTTATCAATTTTTTATAGATTTTACCTTTTGCACTGTTTCTAAAAAGTTATCACCAAACCCAAGGTTATCTAGATTTTCTTCCATGTTATCTTCTAGGAGTTTTATGGTTTAGAATTTTATATCTTGGTCTATTCTCTATTGTGAGTTAATTTTCTTGAAGGTTATAAGGTCTGTGCCTGGATTCTCTTTTTTTTCCTGCATGCGGGTATCCTCTTGTTCCAGAACTATATATTGAAAAGATGATCTTTTCTCTGTTGTATTGTGTTTGGCCTTCATCAAAGATAAGTTGACTATATATTTGTGTGGGTCTATTTCTGGGCTCTGTATTCTGTTCCACTGATGTATTTGTTTGTCCTTTCACTCAGACCACACTCTCTTGATTACTGTAGCTTTACAATAAATCTTAAAGTCAAGCTGGTTTGGTCCTCTGACATTGTTCTTCTCCTTCAATATTTTATTGACTACTCCAGATCTTTTGCCTTCCCATATAAACTCTAGAATCATTTTGTCAACATCCACAAAATAATGCCATTTAGACTGGGATGCCATTTAATCTACAGATCAAGGTGGGAATAACTGACATCTTGAGCACACTGAGTCTTCCTATATATAAATATGGGATATCCCTCCATTTATTTAGTTCTTCTCTGATTCCTTTTATTAGAGCTTTGTAAGTTCACTTACAGAGATATTGTAAATATTTTATTGAATTTATGCCTAAGTATTTAATTTTTTTGGCTTTTGCTTATGTTTTAATTGGTCTGTCTTTTTCGTGTAGGGTTGTAAGAGTCCTTTAGGAATTTTGGATATTAACTTGTCTCAAATATATGATTTACAAATATTTTCTCCCATTCTGTGAGTTATCTTTTCCGTCGCATACATATTTTATACATATATATGTATACAAATTTACTTCTTTATTTCTATGTCTATTTTTATATATTGAAAACCATGAGTTTGCAATAATCCTGCAATTCCAACCCATCACCATAGGGTTTATTCTAGTTTTTCCCCTTTCCAATGTACACCTCTTTTCTCTAACAATGGGAAAACATGGCTCCTATCATCCTCAATAAATTTATTTTTCCAATCTTTTTTGGGCCTTGCCCTACTCAGGCACCCTCTTTGTACAAGCCTCAACTCCTACTGGACCATCCTTTCTCTGATGACCTCCTCTCCTCTGCCCAACACATATAATGCTGCCTTCCTGCAAGAGAAAGAAGAGAAAAGAGATGAGAGAAGAGACTTTAAATAAGAGGGCCAGGCATGGTGGCACACACCTGTAATTCCAGCACTTTAGGAGGCCGAGGCGGGCAGATCACTTGAGCTCAGGAGCTCGAGACCAGCCTAAGCAACATGGCAAAACCATGTCTTTACAAAAATACAAAAATTAGTCGGGCATGGTGGTGGGTGCCTGTAGTCCTAGCTACTTGGGAGGCTGAGGTGAGAGAATCACTTGAGCCCAGGGGGTTGAGACTGCAGTGAGCCGAGATCATGGCACTGCACTCCAGCCTGGGCAACAAAGCAAGACCTTGTCTCAAAATAAATAAATAAATAATACGAATGTGTATGTGATCAGAGCAGGGTAAAATGGATCCATCATATCCATTCTCCTGGATACTATTTCTATTAATTCCTCTTAAGTGCCTATATGGTTATTTTGCTGTCAAATCACTCAGTTGATTCATGTTGAATTTACTTTCAACTATAATCCCTCAGTCTTTTAAATACTTCGCTGTACAACAATAGACCTCTCCCAATACTCACCTCACAGTCTCTATCTGCAGAGTAGAATTTTTAAACAAAAAATTCATGGTAGAATGAATCCTATAATTTCACAAGCTGAGATCATTCAGAGCTTAATTTTTGCTTTCAGTATGTTAAGTATTTGTTATTCCATCCAGATTTGCATCATTGGCAAATTTTCTAAGTATGTTGTCTACACCCTTATTTAAGTCAGTGATAAAACTGAATGAGGTGAGAGCCGGGGGACCACCACTTGAGACTTCCATCATTGTCAGTGATTGTCAAAGGACACACGAAAGTCATGCTCACTTTGAGCAGTCAGAATCTGGGGACTGTCCCACAATACATATTTCCTCCTGTGATTCTGATGTGCTTCCATGATATCCATACTTCTTCTCCTTTTCCATTCTGCTCTGAGTTGGATCGCAATGCTTTTCTAATTGACATTATTAATATAAGAACATCATATCTCTTAGGTCTATGGGGGAAAATAGGTTGAGAATTATCACTCTATTAAATTAGAACTCTTTATACATAATTCAAGTAACTGAAGAGAATTACAATATGTACTTGTCATCTGGGAGTAGTGGCTCATGCCTGTAATCCCAGCTCTTTGGGAGGCTGAGGTGGGCGGATCATGATGTCAAGAGATGGAGATCATCCTGGCCAACATGGTGAAACCCTGTTTCTACTAAAAATACAAAAATTAGCTGGGCGTGTGGTGGCGCGCGCCCATAATCCCACCTACTCGGGAGGCTGAGGCAGGAAAATCGCTTGAACCCAGGAGGCAGAGGTTGCAGTGAGCCCAGATAGTGCCATTGCACTCCAGCCTGGGCGACAGAGCGAGACTCCGTCTCAAAAAAAAAAAAAAAAAAAAAAAAAAGTACTTGTCTTTATGTGCCAAACATTCATTTATTCATTCAACAAATATTTGTTGAGTATCCACTATGTGTTAGGTACTGCTGTAGGTGCTAGGGATATAGCAATGGATAAGACAACATGTTTGCTCTTATGGAGCTTAGAATTTTGAGTGAAATATATCCCTTGTACATTTGCCTGCTTTGTTGTTCTTGACTTAGAGAAAAATTCAATTCATCAAGTGTAGGCTTTATTAAAAGTCACTTTATGACCCTTGAAAGATTTCTTTTTTTTTCATTCACAAATATGATTTTATTTAATCCTATTAAGATTCTGAGTTTCGGATGTTATTACACCTGTTTTTATAAAATCTCAGAAATAAGAAGGGATCTTGGAGGTCATATGAGAAATTTCTGACATTTTAACTTTTCTGACTACAAGAATATGAAACTTCTGTTTCCCTCTTTGCTCTACTTGTCAGAAAACTCGAGTGAATTCTCATGCTCAATGTATATTTGCAACTCTGTGTTTTACTTGTAATTAATAGAACTACAATTATTTCTTAGAGTTAACATTTCAGACTTTTAAAATGTTACTATGTATCGAATGCCACACTGGCTGATTTTGAAAATATTCTCTCTAAATCTTTACAATGATCTTAGAAATATATATTATCCCTATTTTAGAAATAAGGACCCTGAAGCTTCCATATTTTTTCCTCGTAACCAGAAGACTAATATGTTTGATCCTCTTCATGGCATAGGACCCAAGCAATAAGCTATGGCTTCACTGTACTTGCCTGTGGGGTTTTCTATGTCTTTTCCATGTTATATGTGAGGTCTCCTAGCCTGAAGTTGGGTGACATGGATCCTTGTTATAGATCTTACTGGTTAGCTAAGAAATCTCAACTTCCTTCAGGGTAGCTTATAAACTATTTTAAGTAAGGTTACTAACATATGTATAGAAAATCAGGAAAGATTTCATATTTTCCAAAGATCCATACTCACATATTCAAAGAAAGAACTTTAGACTATTTGCTATCACACTAGGAAAAATTATGAAGTTTGAATCTGTGAGGAAATGTACAGATTATCTAGCACTGTAACTAGAAATAATCACAACATTAAACATGTTTTTTGAGTGGATGCTAACTGCCGATCACTGTTCTCTGCAGTTTGTACGTATAAATTAATGTAATCCTTATAATGCCTGATGAGATAGGTACAATTATTATTACCACTTTACAGATCAGGAAACCAAGACACAGATAGATTGCCCAGCCCTGGTAAGTTGAGTCAGAGTGGACCCTAAGTAGCCTGGTTTGAGACCATAGGTTCTCCTGTGTATAAGAAAATACAGCCATTTTTAGCAACCATGCAGAGTGAATTAAGCCTTCCTTTTCAGTGCTCCTGTAGTACTTTTTAAAAACATGCTTCTTCTATACAATGTATGTCACATTATATTATTTGCAAACTACTTAAGGAATAGAGCTAGCAACTTATCCTAATATCATGCATAATAGAGCAGATTTTCAATAAATTTTTAATGGATGATGGAGAATTTAGGCTTAGAAAACATGGCTTTTCCAAGGTCAAAGTGATGGTTTGTGGAAAACTCAGACTAAAAATCCCCAAGTCTTCTGAGTTTCAATCAAGTAGCTGTTCTTTTTTCCTGCATCAAGCTGGTCCACATTTACCACTAGAAAAATACTGTGTAGCATATATGAACTTCAGAATATTCCTTATAGATTTAGATGTGTTGTAATGTTATATGAAAAAGATACATTTTTAATGCAACAGTTCCATGCCTTGCAGTGGCAAAAATAAAAATGGGCTGGGTTTAAAATTAAAATAAACTGGAGTAGTCCAGATTTCTGATCTGAAAGTAGAGGCTGTCATGTATATTTATTCTAGGTTTACAATATTTCATGTCAAGTTGTGAAATTGAAAATGAGGGAAGAAGCACTTCTCAAAACATTCTAAGTTAATTTGTTTTAGTTTTTCTTGGTAGCATTTAGAGTAGAGTAGAGAAGTGAGGAGGGCTCACTGAGTCAGGGAACAGAGTGAGTGATCCTATGGACAAGTTTTGGTTGCTCTTAATTGCTCTAAAGACTTTCCTGGGCTGGGGGAGGTGGGAGTGGGAAAATAACCCACATACTCATTGAAAAAAATAAGGTCAAAATAACTGAGTCTGTCTCTAATAGCTCAAGAATTTCTAGTGTCAATGTCCTCCAGTCAAAGGCCATCAAGAAAATACCTGTAGTTGAGTAATTTGGGTTTGTTGCTCATTGTAATGAGAGTAAACACACACCATGGAGCTACTGAAGTATCACACAGGAAGAGGATGTTAGAAAGGACTTATAGGATTTGAACGTGTCTAAAGTGATTTTTGGGAGAGCTCAAGGAAGCAGTGCTTTGCTCTAGATTAGATGCTGTAGAAGCAGGGGTAATTCTTTGCTTAAGTATGTTAATAAATCTTATCTATAAGGCAAGAGGGATGAAGTAAGGCTAAAACTATTATTGGTAGTGATGCCACAGTCAGTGGGTTTTCTGTCTATAAATTCTACCCACCAGAGAACTTTCTCCTATTATATGATTTCTCTCCACCTCCAGCCTCCTCCTACTTCTTCAATTTTGATGTAACAGTAAGAGCAGTTCTCCTCCTTGTGACTCCCCCTGTTCCTTTTGTCATGACACATCCATATTATTGTTCAGATGCCAGAGGAAAACTGCCTGTCTCTGATTTCTCTTTTTCCTTTTGTTACCACATGTCATGCCCCAAGTAGTCAAACCTGCCTTCATAGTGGCCCCAGGATGAAAGCCACTGCCACCCATATTGGATCTTCCTTGGGTTTGGTGTGTCTGGAGTGTGTAAAGTTGTACAAAGTGCTGGTAGAATGACAGGCATGAAAACAGCCACAGGGCAGCTAAGTTATCTGCATTTCTTACACCGACACAGGCGTGCACAAGGAACTGCAATTCAGGAATTATCTGTTAAACTAAAACTCATTAATTACTTGGTTTGCCCAAAAGGAGAAAAATAACAAAAAAAAAAAAAAAGCAAAAAGATGGATGGGATGTGTTTTGTTTTTAATATTCTTCTGACAGTCTATGGAGTAAAAAATATGTACATAAATAAGTTTTTTCCAGTTTGTAGTGTGGAAAATATTTATATAGAGATAACATTCTTAGACAACATTCTAAGCCTCCCAGTGCTGTATTTTTTAAAGTCTGCAAATAAAAGCAATGTGCATTTGGGGAGTGGGGAATATGAGGATGCAGATGCTCATGGGCAATTCCAGGTGTGATCACTGATCCAATCCACAGGTCCCGCCACAGGGGCCTGGACGACTGAGCACCCGCAGGTGCCTGTGACTCATTGGTGTGGGTTGATTCTCCAAAGAAGAAACACTGATCTATTGGGGCCATCAAAATTGAGGCATGAGTCAGATTTCTCCAGGGTTTGACACATTGACAGAATACTCTGATAACTTAATTTCAGCGAAGGTGCTAATGGCTGATAATAGGATCTCTGGTTACTCTTGGATAACATCTACACTTAAATGGGACAAGGCTCTTTATAGTCTGGTGGCCACTGTCCATCCTGTCTCTCTGTCAGTTTCTCTCTCTTCTGTCCCCAGCTTTCACTTCCATGCCATGCACTGGCATTTCCCTCTGCCTGGGAAATTTTTAGAAATGCAAATTCTCAGTTCCACCCTCTATCTATTGAATCAGAAACTCGGGGTGGTGACCCAGAAACCTATGTTAATTAACAAGAGTTCCAGGAGATTCTGATGTGCGCTGAAGCTTGAGCTCACTTTTCTAAAAACCTGAGCTACATCAGCACATTTAATCTTCATGGCAGCTCTCTGAGGTAGGTACTAAGATTGCCCCATTTTACAGATGAGAAAACTGAGACACAGAAAGCTAAGCAACTTGACAATGGTTCTAAGTTGGGAAGTGGTAGAGCTGAGCTTTGAATCCAGGCTATCTAGCTTAAGAATTTAGTCATTCTATGACTCAGCTGTTACTTCGTGTATAAATAAATGCCTCTGTGAAGACTTCCGTGTGATGCCAATCTCCCAAATTTCACCAAACAGTATCAGTAGTCCCTACATCACTTTCTTCTCTTACTATGCATGTACTTTTCTCATCTTTCTATGCCTGGTACCCAGTACCTACGTTGCAATAAACACACCTTGGTATATGAGGAAAGAATGAATAATTAAATTAATGATTAGTGAATCAGTAAATATTATATCTTGCCTCAGAAGCAACTTTACCAATTTTTCTCAAGAAGTTTAAAATATACAGGTTACTAAATCCTATCTCTCACTTCCCTGAAAGTCTTTAGGAGTAGGACCTGTGAATCTGTATTTTTAGTAGTCAAAACAGAAATAAGAACCTGGGTTTAAGAAAAAGTTGTGCCCAACATACTGATTCAGCTCACATAAAACTCCCACCTTAATTCACACTTACAATATCAGAGAGCTTGATAAGACCAAGCTGAGGGCATCAATGGGAAAGGAGGGACTCATCTCATCCTTAAATCCTACCTCATAGGAGAGCTGCTTACCTCGTAACCAACCCTACCTGGAAGAAAGCCTGAATGTGCTTCACATTTCAGGCACATTATATAATATTCTTTGAATAATATCAACATAAGAAATGCCTGCAGTTGGTTCCACCAAGCTGTATATGGGAAGTTGTTTTCCCCCTGGAACAAGCAGTCCTCAGCATACAAATGGGTCATATTCCAAAAATGCATTTGTAAGTTGAGTTGTTTGGATCTCAGAAAACACTTTCCCACAGAAGTAATATTAGAAAAGAGGGTTCCATTCCTCTGCCAAAACACAAACCTGATTTAGAACACTCTGTCTCTGAAATAGCATTTCAGATGGCCTACACGGACATCCATGGGAAATGTGACTGGGTCCCACCCAACTTGGAACTGGGGAAGATGGGAGCACTGTGACTTCTTGGTGAGGCTGGGCTGTGCCAGCAACAGGGACTTGCCTTAGTTCTCCTCCCTCCCCTAACACACACACACACACACACACACACACATACACACAGTGGCTACTGGTCATGTGATGGAAAGAGAAAGTTGCCACTCCAAGAAGACTACTTGTGTTCCAATGAAACCTTTCCTCCCTTCAATTGTACATTCAAGAGCTGCCCCAGACTTGCAGCTCAGAGGTCCACATTTCAGGAATAGATCACCCAGAATGCTGTACCCTAACCTCTGATATTTTCTTACCTGAATTTTGGAAACATTACACCATCTGTAGTTTCAATTTTAGAGCAATTGTAACCACCTTCCCTAGTATATCTAGTATAATAATATAGGGATAAACATAGAATAAGTGGCATAAATAAAATGGCTGCTGATAAAGTGGAAAAGAGACCCAAATGTCTAGTTTTCCTTGGCCATCAATTAATTAGCTGTGTGACAATGGGCTAAATTCTCTGGGCCTCAGTTTTCTCATTTGTAAAATACTGGGGAAGATAAGTGATTTATATAATCTATAACAGTTTTTTCCTAAATTTAATATTCTAGAATTCAATAAAAATAGTTCTACCTGCTCCCTGGTGAGAAGATTGCTAGTCGGTTATTCTCAAAATTTTTCCACACTTGGCAAAGAAACACTGAAACCTCATTTCAGGCCCAAAGATACATCAAGAAGAACCAAGGCTGGTGGGTTAAAGTTTCATTTCATTCTTATTAAATTAAATGTTATTTCATTCCATTCTTACTTTCCACAGCCAAACTTCACTCGGGCAATGCTCAATGATTTTAAGCCTTGTACTCAATTAGACATTTGTCAGCACACAGCAAGTTAAGGATTGACATGGCAAAATACTGATAATAATTTGTCCAAATTTTGACATGGAAGGAAAACAGAGGAAAAAAAAGAATATAAAAGAATTTGAAGTTATCTCAGAAGGAAACCTTTCAAATAATCAATATACTTAATCTTAACATGTACCATCATAGACTTGAATTTATCTGAGAGCAAAAAATATTGTTTCTTTGACAGGAACCCCCTACCTAAAGGCAATACTTTCTAGAGGAAAAGAAGTGATGGAATGTGGCTACTGGCAACCACTAATGGTTTGGGATTCATAATATCTGATAGGATTTAAGCCCCGGTACTCCATTTCAGCTAGTAGTCTAATATGTTTTTGTGAGTGCTGAGGATGTGTCTGGAGTTGGCATTAGGACCTTTCAAGAAGGGGCAATTAGTTTCCGTTGCCATATATCTTTAATGGGATACAGTTTTCTGGCCGGGATAAGAAAAGAAACTTCTGCTTCCACTCCCTTAAAACAATCCAAAAGCCAATTCCAAACAAACAAAACAAAGTAAAAACTATCCTAAATAATACACAACAAAAATTCCCCAAGCCATGACATTTTCCTAGACAACTGTATAAGAAGACTAGGGAATTGTTTGGGGTGAGGAGAATAAGGAAGTCTGGTTCTAAAACCTCTGACATTTCTGGTCTCATGACCAGCAATGTAATCTAAAAGACAGTGTTTTATAGGCCTCAGACAGTAATGTGAGTGTTTTATATGCACTATTTATATTAACCCTTAAGACAACCTAGTGAAGTATGTGCTATTTCCACTTTGTTTAGTAAGTGCTTATACTGCCATTTGTAGAAGAAAAATCTAAAAAGACAATGGGAAAATGGCCCTGCCAAGAAAGGTAGAACTGAGTGCACTCTCAGTTCTAACCACTCAAACAGCACAGGTTAACTATACTGGTAAGAGACTGGGATTCCAATTCTTGCTCTACCACATCCTATGACCTCAAGGAAGTTACTGAATTTCCTTATATATAAAATGGCAATAATAATAGTGCCTACCTTTCAGCTTGTTATATTTTCCAATAAGAACCTAACCATAATGGACCTAAAACAGCACCTGCCAGATGATAGTATTCAATGACTGTTAGACAGCATTTTACCTGGTTCTGCAACTCCCTGCATTTCCACACACCAGAAGACTGCCTACATCTAGGCAGATCACAGGGATCATATATAGTCCTGGATAAAATGAGAACACTGGAAACAATGCCTCCTCATTCTCTAAGAATAGGCCTTGATTCTCAAGGCATAGTCCCTGGATAAGCAGCATCAACATCACCCGGGAACTTGTTAGAATGCAGTGTCAGGACCCATCCCAGACCTCCTGAATCAGATTGCACATTTTAACAACATCCCCAGGTGATTCCTGTGCACATTAAATTTGAGAAGTTCTGCTCTCAGGCACACACAGGGTAGTAATTCTCTCTGGCCCTCTGACAGTGCATAAGCTCCATAGCTCTCAAATACCAGGAGAAAGGCAGAACTCGTAGTGCTCATAATATCACAAGCTGTTGGGCCTTCCTGTGCCTATCCCATTCTTCTGTTGTTAGTTTAGCGCATCCTTCATCATATAATCCACCTGGTAAAAAACTGTTATTCAAGACTCAACTCAAGCATCATGGAGAATCTTCCTGTTTTCCTCCTCCCACTTCAGGAGGAATTTCCCACTTCCACATTTGTTTCCCAACTGAACAATGGCATTGAAACTTCTTTGACTAAAATCAATGGTAAGAAATATATTCCTGTTTCTCTCTCTCTCCTTCTCTCTTTCTCACACACATACAACCCATATGTTACTGAAATGAAAGTTTCATGAAAGAATATTTTGATTTAGTG
The DNA here is from genome assembly GCF_000001405.40 of Homo sapiens. NCBI lineage: Eukaryota > Metazoa > Chordata > Mammalia > Primates > Hominidae > Homo > Homo sapiens. The sequence goes on from NC_000006.12 coordinate 46,505,637, forward strand.
TGTGTGATGGACTCAGATACTTTGAACATTACTCTGTTCCATTTCATGTATTGCTGTCTGCAAGCTGTAGAATTAGTTTAAGTACCACTTATGGGTAGTGATGGGCAATTTGTAAAGCCATGTACGTAGATATTTCTTAAATAGGAACTATAACACTAGACTGATGATTTAGTCTCATATATAGCTTCTCTTCTACATAGAGAACATGGCTTAGTGCCTGGCACATACAGGGACACAGCATTTTTTTGTTGAATGAGTAATGAATGGATGGAGAGATCTCGTGATGAGCTATTTTTGCAGCCTCTCATTCTCCTTTTGACTCTTGGCCCTGCTACCATACTTAATAAAAAAAAAAGAGGGCCTGTTTATGCAATAATTTATTAGCCACTAACCATAACTATAAACCTATGATAATAAATCTCTATGCTTACAACAGGAATTTTCAAATGAAAAGTGGTTCTCTCAAACATTGCGTTGAATAGTAAGAAGAAAGAGAAAAATTGTGAGTTCAAAGGACAATAGTTCTGAGCATTTTGGGGATTTATTGTTCATTGCTAATATTTTATTAGTCTCCCCATTGTAAATTAAATGGAGCTCGAGTAGCTATAACTGGGAACATCCTGTGCCAGGGAGATGCCAGCCTGCCCTTTGAGCCTCGCCATGGTGCTCTGCCAGTTCTCCTCCATTCTTTCTTTCAACACCTCTGCTCTTTCAGTGTGAGAGCACTTGGGTGAGGTTTAGCATGGGGAAAAATGACAATCAACCGCATTCACTTATCATTTATATCCCAGGCTTGGATGTGACACTCTAGTACATGAGACCGGAAGAAGTTTGAGATGAGGTGTCAGGACCTTCAGTTCTCTTTTAGCAAAAGTCTCACAGCCTCTGCATGCTGCCCTTCCTCCATTTGCAGGAGGTGAATGGAAAAACAGAAGCCCTGAAAAATAAGTCTGAAAAGAACAGCAACTATTCCAGTCTTACCCTTCACCATAACACACTAGTTAAAAATTTTTTTAAGCCACCTAATACTCCTTTCACATCTTTGCAGCTGATTCTAAAATACTGCATTTAGATAGGGCACATGAGGGTCTGACTGGGTTTGAATCACGGCTCCTACAAGCTAACGCACATGAAGGCTGCATTCCTTTTCCTATGCATAAAACAGAGCTACTAATAGCACCTGCCTCATAGAGTATTTGTTAGGAAAAAAAAATGGCATAATAAATATAAACTTCTTAGAATTGTGTCTGGTGCATAGTAAGAACTTAGTAAATCCTGGCTATTTTTAATGTTATTATTATACATAAAAACTGTCTCTCGCTCTCTCTCTGTCTCTCTCTATATAGATATATATATGATTCCTTTCTTACCACATTTAGACAGTTAAAGTAATAAACTGTCTTCAAAGTAAAATGCTACACATACTGTGTATTGTGGTATCCTAGATTGGATCTTAGAACAGAAAAGCGCATTAGTGGAAAAGTTAATGACATCTGATTAAACTCTGTAGTTTAGTTAATTTAGAAACAATGTCAAGTTGTTAGTTTTGACAAATATATGAAGGTTGTGTGAAGTGACAACTAAGAAAACAGTGAAGAGTGTATAGCAACTCTCTGTACAATCTTTACAACTTTTCAGTAAATCCGAAATATACCAAAATAAAAATGTTATTTAAAAATATGCCACATGTAGTTCTTGAGCATATAGCAAATACTAGGTTGTGCTAGACAGCATGAAAAGATCAAGAGAGAAGGGAAAAAATGGTTTGTCTTCAGGGAGCTTACCATCTCAAAGTGAGATCAGGACACCAATGAATTTATAATAAACTGTAAAGATACAATAAATGTCTTAACAGAAGTAGAAACAAACTCTTGACAGCTTTATATGAAGGACCAGCTACATAAATATTCTTTTTTCTCCATGGTTAAATCTGTTGGTTAATTATTAATGAATCACAGCTTCATAATTCCTGCCTCCTGGGGTGGTTACTCTTCCTGGTTGATATTTCAGTGGGGGAATTCCCTGCATGCTGGAGGACTGATTCCTGGCTGATGTAAATGTAAACTTTATTCATTTATTAAATGTTTTAATAAGCTGAGGGGTGCAGGAACAAAGAGCATGGACCTTGGAATCAAGCAAAACTGAGTTCAAATCTAGGTTCTCACCTCCTTGGGCAAGTTAATTGAGCCTCATTTTCTATTTTAGCATAAGGGAAAGAATATTGAACTTGCTGGTTGTTATAATGATTGATTGAAATAGGTCATAAGGATCCCTGGCCTATGATAAGCAGGATTTATTATCAATGTTGTCAGTAGAAACTATCCACTAGGTGGGTAACCATATTGTTGCTCTGGCAACCTGAGCACTTACCCAGTCTTCATGTACTCACTTCACTTATCTAAGACCTTATTTTGGGTGGTTCAGGGTTGTCTTTGCCCAGTGGAGAGGGTGGCAGACCCTTATAGGGGAGGCTAGCATAGATTGAGGCTGCATTGTGTAGGATTTGGAGACCATCTGCCTGGCTTTAAAGCTGGCCTTTCTACATACCAGCTTGCTACCTGTGTGACACTGGGAAATTGATTTAACCTATCAAGGCTCTGTTTCCCTGTCTGTAAAATGTGAATGCCAGCTCCTAAGTCATAGAGATGCATTACAGGTGTTCACATACAAAAAGTCTCTAAGACAGAGCTTGGTACATGGCTACCCAGCAATAAATAATAGTGATCACTATTAGCTATTATTTAACGATCATTTCTTCTTTTTCCTGGATGCTCAACATCCCATTTTGTTCAGATATAAGGATGCAAGGTGTTCAGGGAAGGGAGGCTGATGCTTTCCTCCAGCCCCAGGGGATGACCCACCGTTGGTATGAACCAATCTTAATAATTCCTTCTGTCCCAGTTTAGGCATGGGTATGTGGTTGATGTCTGGCCAGTGGAACTTAAAAAGAAATCTTCTAGTGGTTTCCAGGGAAGCTTTTTCTCCTTAAGTTAAACAACAACAAAAAAACCACACAGGAGAGCCCTTTGGTTCCTGTGTTAAAAGTCATGCTATCATGAGGGGATGTGATGACTGTCATCGTACTACCATGACAGGAGCCAGGAGAACTACAGAGAGGCTGTCTTGGGGCCCAGACATCAACAGGCTTCTGAACCATCTACTTTTAGACATCTTGTTATTTAAGATCATGAATGTCCTTGTTGTTTAGCTACTTTTAGTCAGGCTTTCTTTTACTTGCAGCCAAAGGCAACCTAACTAATACTGGAGTTCACAGAGAGTGAGAAGTAGTTATTATTATCCCAGTTTCATGGGTGAGGAGCTAAATTTCAGAGATAGTCAACTAATTTTCCACAGGATTATTCAGCTAGTGAAGTGCAGAGAATGAGGGAGAGGGTGAATAAAAGATTTTTTATCTCTTTCCAATGAATATTTTTTGGCCAACCATTTACTTAAAACCTATCTATTGAGCCTACAAAGCAGCCCCACAGGCCTTGTGGCATTTCCTGGCAACAAGGCTTAGGTGGAGCTTCCAACGAGCAGGGTGAGGTGAGCATCTGTCCAGAAGCTGGCACTGCAATGTATGTATTTTTAGGTGTTCAGGGAAAGGTCGGCCACTGGATAAGTTAGGGACACGTCTCTAGTGTGATGAAACATTTCCAAGAAGGCTGAGTTGAGAAGTCTGTTTCCTACCTATTGGAAAAATCACAGAGTACACAATTTGTTTAGTAATTAATGATTAAATTCAATATTAGTCTGAGGAGGCACTTGTTCTAATGCCAGCATTTCTCTGTAACGTAAAAAGTCAGGGTCAAGTAGGAAAGAAACAGTTACCAAGTGTGAGTGCTTTTCTTCCTTTCTTGGTTTGGAGTACTTTCCTGTATCTCTATCTTTAAGAATAACTTGGATCTTCCAGCCTGCTTGTGCTTTTCCATTTCTTCACTCACTCATTTTTGAATTTATTCACTTATTCAATGAATATCTTAAGGTGGCTATTATTTCCTAATTAAGTTGGGGAGAACAGTTATAAACACTCACAGATTATTAAAACCAAGTATAATATTATTATAACAGCTACAATTTCCTGAGATACTTTATATACAGTATTATTAATCCTCTAAACTATTTTTTCAAGGTAAGCATTATTATCTCTAACATTGCAGCTGTGAAAACTAGGTTTTGGAGAGGTCAAAGTAATTTTCCACAGGGTTGTACTGCTTATTAAAGTGCAGAGCTGGGTTTGAACATGGGTCATTTGGACTCCAAAGGCTTATCTTTTCTGCAGTCTGAGAATGAGGAGCACAGTAAAGAGAGGCGGTGTTTTGGGCCAAATCATGGAGTGATAGATATGAACATGGAGTGAAGCTCAGGCAGGGATCTAACCCAGCACAAACTGGGCAGTGGAAATGAGAAGGCTATGTGGAAGAAAGGAAAGAAATGATTCTGTGTGGATAATAGTGACAATGAGAGGGAAGCCAAAAAGGAGTGGTCAGCTATGCAAAGATATCTAGGGTTAACTCACATGATCACACGTCACTGCCAGTTGTTATATAATAGAGAATAAGCCCATTATTTTCCGAGAGATGGAGAGAAGAAAGAAGGCAAAATGGAAGGATGTACACGAGAGGGGCCACACTGCTAGCAGTTCAAGGACTCAAGAAGGTCTAAAGATGTAAATTCATTGGTCAACATAAATTTGATGCTAATACTTAATAAGGAGATTTCTCATAAAATTCTGCATTTACAATGTCTCTTGAAAACATTTAGATTTTCCGTTTCAGGCTTTTTGGAGCCCTCACTTCTAGAGAGCAATTGGTAGCCAGGAGCTGAATAATGACTGGCATTTTTAAATGGCAACTGGTCCACTTATGCCCTAGTGTCTCACTCCCAGCCTTCTTCATGCATCTATCACATTTGCCTAGACCCTGCTGGTATCTGAGTTTGCTACCCCTGATAATCACCAAAGTGTCAGCTGTAGATCTCTCTGAATAGTGTGATTATTGCTGATTTTTAAAAATATTTACTTAACTACATTTTCTAAATTTCCTACAATTACTGTGGATTGCTTTTATAATATGAAAAAATGTGAATGTTATTTTTTAAACTATCAATTCCACAAATATTGAGGGAGGAGCTGTGGCTTGGCAGGAGTCCTGTGAAAAGATCCAGGGGTTTTATTGAAGGCAGGCTCAATGTGAGCCAAGATCATGACACAGCAGCTAGAAAACAAAACAAAACAAAACCTCAACAGATCACTGGAAGCAATGGCCTCAGTGTTCTGCATGGGTCAGGCCTCTGCTGGAACATAAGCCACATTTTATTGGAGAAAATAATAAACTAGAAAGTGTTTGCTGCTGGGAAACCAAGATAGAAGGAGTCTAGAAGTCAAGTTATATGAGGAACAGTTAGGAGAAAATGGACATTTTTAGCTTGGACTTCTTTAGAAAAACCAGAAACCTGTGATAGCTATCTTCAGCATTGGGAAATGTGAAATGTGGTCAAGACAGCATCGATTTACCCAATGTCAATGTAGAAAGCCAGAAAGCACCAGTGAGAGCAACATGGAAGGAGACCCCACTTTCATATAAAACAGGGATTTAATAATACTAATTCATGCAATAGTGAATAGTGGGTTACCTTGTGCATGGGAAAGTTCTACTTTATGAGAAATCTTTGGGCAGAGACTGTATGGCAGCCTGTTTCAGGTGGATGTTTAGGTCAGACAAACCTGAATGTGCCCTCCAAAACCTGGGCTTCTCTCTTCCTTTGACTGGGTTCAGGATACTGACAACTATCCAAATGCAGACCATTGGGATGTAGCCAGGAAACGTCAGCTCCTGTCAACTTTCACGAAGACGTGAAGCACGACTGCCAATGGTTACTCTGCCTCACTCTCCCCAAAGTCATTTTCAGTGGTAAGGCCAAACCCAGAGCGTTTTCCAGAAATCCACATAAGTGCAAGGAACATCAGCTATATTTGTGTGGAAGCGTGGAAGTGCTGTCAACACTCCTGTGGGGAAAGGGCTCAGGAACTCACATTCCGTTAAGCCAGGGTTTATATTAGCCATACTGCCAAGAAAGCAATAGTCCCCAGGTTTAGACAGCATTCGATATTTGCTTCGGTGATCAGAATTCAGACTTAATTTAAACCTATATCTTCAAATCTTATATTTTTAAGTTTCTGGGTCCTGTAGCCAAGTAGTCTGTCCTTGAATGAGGACAGATCTCAAAGCTCCCTGACGGATTACCAATGCATTCTCCTTCTGATGTAAGGAAGTGAATCAAATGTGAGAGGCCCCTGCCAACACCCCCTCTAAGTCTAAGCAATTTTTCTGAAGAAGCACTGGACAAATAAAAATATTCTGATAGTCATATCATGAAACTATGGGAGAGAGGCACATTGTATTAGACATTGTCTCCATACAAAATATCTTAAATCACCAAAATATAAATTCATTAAATTTATGGATCAGAATGCAAAGAGCTGATTTCATCAACTTTTGGTATTTCTATTTTAATATTATGTATCATATCACCCATATTATATATATATATGCACTCTATGGAGTGCATACTGTGTGTAGGCCAGGCCCTGTCTGAGCATCTTATGTGTAGCCTAGTATAGTTCACTAGAACTCTATGAGGGAAGCACAATTAGGAGGAAAGTGATGCACCCAGAGGTTAATGACTTGTCTGAGGTTACAAAGTTAGTCAGGTGACAGGATTGGACCCTATGCAACTGGCTCCTGAGCTGTGGGAAGAACCCAAATCCATATCACTGGTGCTCCAGCTGCCACCTCCTCCAAAGGCTCACCTGCACTGCATCATGCTTTCCTTCCCCAGCAGACACCCTTGGGAAACACTTCCTCCATGGAGGGTGACCATCCACTCTCTCGCCTGGCAAGGGGCTGGAGTCTCCCTAATAGCTGGAGGAACACACAAGTGCGTTGGTCAGATCCTGACTAAATTTATAAAAGTATTCAATGCACGAGCTCAAAATCTCTTCTGCTCTCTGGATAAAGTACAACAATTTCTTTTTCTATAAATACACATGAAATTAAAAATAAGGGAAAATAATTTAATACTTTATTTTATAAAATTAAGTAATCAAATTCCTCCTAAAAGGAGAACAGGGCCAGATTTCTCAATGTTATTAATACTATTTTTAGTACTTTAAAAGCTCAATATACAATCTCTTGACATTTTCCAGTTTTACTGCTTGAATATTTAGAATAGAAAATTACATTTTTTCATGTTTTCATTCTCTTCATGGACACATTTGAAAGACATTTAAACTTCAAACTGCCAAATCTGCCCTTATTGGTTTAGTTCTTTTCCAAGTAATACTAGGACATTTGTAAGTGTTCATATAAATAATTATGTGAAAAATGCTCACCATATTGTTAAGTGCAAAAGACGAGCTGTAAAGTTCTCTATGGTATTATATCCTTTTTGGTAAAATGAATTAAAATATATATAAATACATACAGAGAGGAGGAGAGGGAGAGAGAAAATCAAATTCAAGAAAATCAGAATATTAACAGTGATTATAACTGAGGACTTTATATCTGAGCATTGAGAATTTGGGATATATTTAATTCCTTATTTTTCCTTGTATCTGTTTTCTAAACTTTCTGAATTACTTTTACAATGAGAAAATAAACATACTATTCTTATAATAAGAACTAACATGTATTAGGTGCCAAGTGCTACCCTAGGTGCTCTACATGTATTAATTTGTTGTAATTCTAACATCAACTCTTTGACATGGACAGTGTTATTATTCCCACTTTACATATGAGAAAACCGAGGCAGAGGGTGATTCCATAGAGCCAGGCGTCTGGGTTTCAGACCTGTGTTCTGAACCTTCCAGTGCCTGGACTTAATGAAATAGTAAGTCCCCCACTTTCATTAAGTCCATTAAGTCCCTACCATATAAGACGCCAATCCCTATGTTCTCTTTCAATTTTTTGTTTGAAATCCTTTAACCTGGCACCAGCCATAACCTCCTGCTGGTCAGGCAGTCTCCTCATATCTCCTGGGTATTTGGCTTACAATTACTCTGAGAAGCAGAACACTCAGCTATAAAAAGGTAACTAACGTCACAGAGGAGCAGATGCCAAGGTCCAAATTTGAGCACTTCAGGGTCAGAAGAGGGGTTGATGGCTGAGTGCTCAGGGATCCTTCAAGAGGAGGAGGCTAAGGCCAGGCCTCAGAAGCTAGAGAGGTCAATGTAAAAGAAGATTAGCTTAATAGCTGTTGATGGCAACTTGGTTTTCAAAACAGTATATGCATTAATTATCATTCAAAAAATTCTGAATTCTTATCAAAAATAATTTTAACAACCTTTTTTTTTTTTTTGAGATGGAGTCTCACTGTATCGCCCAGGCTGGAGTGCAGTGGCATGATATCTCAGTTCGCTGCAACCTCTGCCTCCCAAGTACAAGCAATTCTCCTGCCTCAGCTTCCTCAGTTGCTGGGATTATAGGTATGTGCCATGATGCCCGGCTAATTTTTATATTTTTAGTAAAGATGGGGTTTCACCATGTTGGCCAGGCTAGTTTCCAACTCCTGATTAACATACATTTTTAAACTGAGATAGAAGTTTTCCTGCATATAGCTGCCCAATGGTTCTATGATGGATACCATCCCAATGAGCCATTGGCCATTAAACTTTCTAGCACAATAAGAACTATCAGTCTCAGTCATGGTCTTACCTTAAACTGCAGGAGTGTTACATACAGCCTTGGGGTACTCTAGATAAATACAGTTGCCTGAGATGAATAGACGGGGGTCTGATCTGGTTTTGAATATATATATATATATATATATATATATAGTATATAGTATATATTATTATAATATTATATATATTATAACATTATAATAATTATAATCATTATATTATATATATTTTCTATATAATATAATTATAATTATTATATTATAATATTATATATATTATATTTATATTATATATTTATTTATATTATATATATAAATATAATATATATAAATATATATTATATATAAAATATATATTATATATAATATATATTTATATATAAAATATATATTATATATAAAATATATATTATATATAAATATATATAATATATATAAATTTATATATATAAATTTAGATATATTATAGATATATTTATATATAAATTTAGATATATTATAGATATATTTATATATAAATTTATATATATTATAGATATATTTATATATATAAATTTATATATATTTATATAATATATAATATATATTTTATATATATAATATATATAATATATACATATATAATATATAATATATATTATTATATATAAATAATATATATTATATATTATATAAATTATATTATATATACTGAATATATATGTATTCAGTATATATATATTCAGTATATATATTATATACATATATATTCACATATAAATATATAGAACAATTCTTATATATTTGTTCTATAAATATATAGAACAAATTCTTATTTATTACCAACAAAATCAGAAAGATTAGAACATACAGAAAAGCACAAAGAAACTAGAGATCACCATAACCTTACAATTCAAAGATATCCACCGTTGATGGTTTTAGTGCATTTAGTTTCAGTTCTCTCCCTTAACCTGTCTTAAGTTAATGCTATCAGGCAGTCCACTCATTTACTTTGACTATTTAGTTTACAGTTTCCATGAGAAGGCAGAATGCTCATTTACAAACCCCACTCACGCTCCCCCAACCCTCCCCATCTTTCAAATTCTGTATCCATCTATCTATATACTCATTTCTCTTTACATCCATCCATTATCTATTTTTCTATATATCTAACAAACATATGTTGTCTTCCCTCCCCCAAGATTCATTGGGGTATAATTGACAAAATAAAAATTGTATATATTTAAGGTGTACAATATGATGATTTGATATATTTTTGCATTGTAAGATGATTACCCCAACCAAGCTAATTAACATATCCATCACCTCACATGATTACCACTTTTTTGTAGTGAGAACACTTAATATCTACTATCTTAGCAAATTTAAAGTACATAATACAGTATTATTAACTGTAGTCACATGCCATGCAATAGATCCCCAAAATTTACTCATCTTTTAACTGAGAGTTTGTACCCTTTGGCCAACATATACCCATTTTCCCCATCCTCTAGCTCCAGGCATCCCCTGGCTCCTACTCTACTTGCTGGTTCTATGTGAGTTCAACTTTTTCAGATTCCACATACAAATGAGCTATTGCTGTATTCATCTTTCTATGTCTGGCTTATTCCACTTAGCATAATATCCTGTAGGGTCATCTCTGTTGTCACAAATGGAAAGATTTCCTTTTCTAAGGCTGAATAATATTCCATCATATACATAATGTATTTTTTCTTAATCCATTTATTTGTTGATGGACACACGTTGATTCCACGGCTACTGTGAATAATGCATAAGGGTGCAGATATCTCTTCAAGATACTAATTTCATTTTCTTCATTTTATTTCATTTATATATCCTGAAATGGGATGACTGAATCATGTAGTAGTTCTACTTTTAATTTTTTGAGAGACCTCCGTACTGTTTTCTATAATAGCTGTATCAATTTGCATCCTTGCCAACAGTGTGCAAGAGTTCCCTTTCCTCCACACCCTTGCCAACACTTTCCCCACACCCTTACCTCTTGCCTCTTTGATAATAGCCATTCTAACAAGAGTGTGGTGATAGCTTGTTGCAGTATTGATGTTCATTTCACTCCTTTTAAATTTGTTTGGAAATAACTTCAAATGTATAGAAAAGTTGTAAGAATGTGACATTCATAAAAAGGGATCATATTATATATTATGCTTTATAATATTTTTTTAATAATCTAGAAACTCTCCTTACATTCAGGCTTCTTGCTTCTTTTACAATTTAATGTGAATGTTAATGAGTGTTTCAGTATTTGGAGCTAAAACTAATTTATTTTTCCAATCCCAATCTGTCCCTTCCTTTCTTCTTCCTTCCCTCTCCTTTCCTTCTTTCCTCCTTCCCTCCCTTCCTCTCCCCCCTCCTTTCTTCCTTCTTTCTTTCTTTCCTTCCTAATTTAACTAAGAACTAGAGGAAACTATTTTTACAATACCATATTTTGAATTTGGAGATAAGATCCCAAACATTTCATTGAATTTCTTACTATCAAACTTCATACTTTAAGAGAAAGTGAACCCAACACTTTGGAAGTTTTACTATTTGGAAGCATTGAAGCTTCTTCAGTTATCATCCCCTTAATTGTTTTTCTTTCCCTACCTGATCTCTGAAATACCTCTATCATTTAAAATTTCAGTTTTAAAGTTTCTTACTACTATTACTAACTTACCCACTCTGGGTTTCATTCTAAGAATTCCATAACCTTCACTTTTCTTTCTATTTCATATCTATTTGAACTAAGCAGAGAAGATATATAAAGTGTATTTTATGATTGCAAGACATTGAATTATAGGCATTGCAATAGCATTTCCAATATACATGTTCCCCTTCTTCTTTAATAAAATAACTCTCATTTTTTTTCTGAACGAATTACCATCCAGTTAAAGTATAACATTTCTAGGTATCTTTTGTAGCAAGGTAAAGCAAAGCTAGTACAGTTTGACCAATGAGAAGTGAGTGGAAGTGTGCTACTTCTAGGAGGCCCTTAAAAGGAAGGAAGTTGGCCCTTCTTTTGCCTTTCCTTCTTCCAGTGAAGGGAGTTCAAACAGTCTTCTTGCATTAGAAAGTTAAAGCCATATGCTAATAATGGTGGAGCAGTAGGGAGAAGATTCAGTTCCTACTGCCCTGGAGACACTGCCACTGTACCTCTCATGTGACAGACAAAGATATTTATATTTTACTTAAGAAATTATTTTGTAAAATTTAAAATGATATGTGGCCAAATCTCATCCTATCTAATACAGCTATTACATGCAAATGTGTGTGTGTGTGTGTGTGTGTGTGTGTGTGTGTGTGTGTGTATGCATGTAAAGTTCAGGGATGAAGAAAGTCTAGAATATTCAAAGAAACAAACTTATTTCCAGTCTTGGGAGCAGGCTATGCACCATAGTAACAGTCAAGCCATCTTTTATATGTACTATATAGTTATATATGTCATTCTATGTATACTATATACATATAATAGATGTATTTACTTTTGAGAATGCTGGAAAATATTTTCAAGTGTTAGAATTTTATAATAATTGTAGATTCTGGGTCATATTTTAGTTTTCTGGGGCCTTTAATGAAGTCAGAGAAGTAAGCTCATTGGACCTTCTGATGGTAGATGACATTTTTTTAACTTATTTATACCCCATGCTCTTCACATTGAATCCCTTTTTTCTTTATGACAGACTTCTAGGTTCAGTGTTTCCACTTTGTTCTCAGGATTGTAAGGAACCTCAGAGAGGTTAAGGAACTTTTTTCTAAATTCTAACATCTAAGAAGAAATAGGCAGAAATAAGATCCTACTCCCTCCCCAAATCATTCATAAAGGAACACACATTTCCTGAGTATTTAGAATGTAATGTGCACATTGCTGTGCAAAACACAAATGAAAGCTAAAACAAATGTTTATCAAAAGGAGCCAGAAGGCTTAGAGGAGATACAAACTAAAGGACAAAAAAAAAATATGGACATGCGATACCAGACCAGATTTACTTTCAGAGCCAGCAAATTCCAGATAAGAGTATAAAGTGTGGGATGAATCTCACTAGGATGGCTGCACTGGGGAAGCTGCGCAGCTGGGCCTGCGAGTAAGGATGGGGTTGAAATAGGAGAGGATGGATGTTTCATGGAAAATCTTATTGGGATAAAAATATGGAAGTGGGAATGAGATCAGCATGGGTGTGAGACAGTGAAGAAATTGCCTAAGCAGAATTGTGGGAGCAGATCCACCAATGCTGAGGAATCAGGTAGAGCTACAGGGTGAGGCCGGGTTTGCAGGACCCTGAGAGTGCAGCAGCAGGTTCGAGGCGAGGAACTCATGGTGTCCAGAGATAGCTCCTTCATTTATGGTTAAGGAACCAAGGCATTTTCATTTCCTACTTTTTAAATAAATTGGGCATTCCTTGTTGACTCAGGTTTATGATAAATAAAAAAAGAAATTGACTGGCTTAGAGGTTTTAAAACATTCCAGACTTTGTTTATACAGGGAAAGATTTTTCAAAGGTCAAACTTGAACTGCTGTAATCACCTTTATATATCCATGTTCAGTATTATTCTAGTTCCATAAACAAGCTTAAAATAGGAGTTGATAATACCACCAGATTTTAGAAGGGGAAGAGCTTCACATTTCTCTATATCTACAGCCAAATGCATTTTTTTCAAGCAGGGTCAGTATTTCTGGAGAAACTTTGCATTTTATGGAATGGGTTTAAGCAATTCACCAGAAATGACTCCAGTTCTTTTTTTACGTAGAGTCAAGAATGGGGCTGTAGGAGTATATACATTCACATGAAAAGTTGCTTACAAATATTATATGAAAAATAGCATACTAAAATAGTAGTATGAAAATAGTAAAATTCCATTTTTAGATTAAAATATGTTTATAATATTTTTAATATTATAATATGCATAGGAAGGATACATGGAATATATAGCTATGGTTTTCTCTAGGGACTTGAAGATGGTTCTTCATTTTCCTTTTTGTGCTTATCTATGTTTTTAAATATTCCCACAAGAAATATGTATTCTTTGTGTAATTTTTCTTCAGGTTAGTATCTAAGGACATAAGAAGTGGGGCACACATGGGGTGCTAAAAAATGGTTGTGTTTTAGGGCAGGATCAGAAAGGGATTTTATTGTTATGGGAGAGAGATAGGAAAAATAATGCCAATAATTTTCTTTAAAAGAATGACATGACAGCAAAATTATAACCCAGTGGTTCTCATGTATATATGGTTATGATGACTTTGGATAAGTTACCCAAACTTCTGTGGGCCTTATTCTCCCATATATAAAATGAAGACCTGGGCACTCTTTTTTATTATTATTATTATACTTTAAGTTCTGGGATATATGTGCAGAACCTGCAGGTTTTTTAGTCCTGGGTATTCTTAATGTCTCTTCTAGCTTGAAAAAAAATTACTGTGACTGATACCTTTCTCAATAGTCATGGAACTTGAAGTAACTTCACCCACCTTTCCACCTCATACTGAAAAGGTTCTGATTCTCACCCACAAGCCCAGAAAAAATACATATTATATAAGAGATGAACTTAGCCAGTCAAGTGCAGCCACTAGGATTCCCTTATAACCCAAAAGTTTTTTAGGCCCTGGGATAAACTGAACTGCTACAATTGCTAAGGAAAAGTCAAGTTAATTACCGGATTTTCTACTTTCAGGCAGAATTATACTTTCCTGTACAAATTCCCTTTCCCTTTTGTTTCAGCAAAGTTCCTCATCCTTGGATGTATGCCCCAGTGGATTGTGCTTTGCCTTGAGGACACTGTTTGGCAAGGTTTAGTTCACAAGATGAGTAGATAATGGGAAATCAGTGTCTCTACCCAGCACCTTTTTGTATTTTTTCCTTATAACTTTTCTCAATTGTTATTATATCTGCCACTTATCATACTAAATCTTCCCACTCTTCAAAGTTTAGCATTCAGTTTCCCCAGGAAGTGTTATCCAAACTATTTTTTTCCACGGTACCCACTCCCCTGTAGGAGTTTTCATGCACTTATTTCCAATCCCACACAATTGAACACCCAAGCTATCCTCTTGTCTATGTTATCATGTACTTCTCTGTGCAAGCCTTTTTACTTTAGCTGGAATATGAAGACCTCAATAACAGAGACAAATTCTTTAACTTTTCTCACTGTCTAAGTAATGCCTGGTATATTGTTCAGGTCAGAGAAGATGGTGATGGTAAAAGAAAATTTTGATTGATGAAAGTCACCAATTTTCTTTTACATTTTTATTTTTATTTATTTTTTTTTTATTCTTTGAGATGGAGTCTTACTCACTCTGTTGCCCAGGCTAGAGTGCAATGGTGCCATCTCAGCTCACTGCAACCTCTGCCTCCCAGGCTCAAGCAGTTCTCCTGTCTCAGCCTCCCGAGTAGCTGGGATTACAAGTGTGAGCCACCACATCCGGCTGATGTTTGTATTTTTAGTAGAGATGGGATTTCACCATCTTGGTCAGGCTGGTCTCAAACTCCTGACCTCAACTGATCCACCCACCTTGGCCTCCCAAAGTGCTGGGATTACAGGGGTGAGCCACCACACCCCGCCTGAAAGTCAACAATTATTGATCAAGTTTACTTTTGCCAGGTATTGGAATCCAATATAGTGCCTGCGGCAGGTACAGAAAAAGACCAACATATAAACCTAAAGTTCAATCTCATGAATTTTGTGATTCAGGAAAAGGGGGCTTTGCCTCTACCATCACAAATACCACCTCACCTCTCTCCTGATACTCCAGTAGTAGCCTTGTGGAGACTGGAATAACTTGGGCTTCTTGAAAGGCGTAACATGAAGCAAATCAGTAGAAAAGTAGCAAAAAAGCAAGATATCTGAATGCCTTGAAAAATCAGAAAAGAAAGAAAAGGTCATGGATTTTGGACTATGATAGAATTAGAACACTGAAAGATGTCTTAGAAATAATCAGTGAAGTCATCATTTTATAGAAGAGCAAAGTAAGGCTCAGGGAGTAACTTGCTTAAGGTACATAGATGGTAGAATCAACACCAAAATTATGTCTCTGGCCTCTGAAGTCCAGGATTCTTCCTAATCTGATCATAACTTATTTTTAATACAGCATTCTAATGAAAGAGATGCATTAAATAACTGTATTCATTTTCTACCAGCAAGCAAAGTGTCCTAGAAGAAGGAAGAATATGCAGTGGAATGTTCCAACTCCCCTAGTTCCCATGATACACTGCTTTCCTCTCTTCATGCCAGTAGTATGGTTCCATTTTTATATTCCACAGTTCTAAAATCAACACTAAGATTAGAACTAAACAATCAAACCAAAAGAACATACCACTATTTCAACTTTTGGTTAATATTAGGAATGACTCATGAGATAATTCCTGAGCACTTACATTATGTGATACAGGAGTCCTCTGCACAAGTGGGCTTAAAATCCTTCATGAACATTCTCTAAGGCCTAAAAATATGTTTGTTAAACAATCTTCTAAAATAGTGTTCTTAACCTAATCAGTTTTACCAATGTTACATCATTGTTGCACTTGGTTGTGTGTGGTCCACTGGAAATAGTGTAGTCATCTAAGACCTAGGCAGGCCAAATCCTCTTACTGATTCTGTCATGAGAACAATAGTTGGAGAACATCCATAGTTATTATTATGCAGTTGATGTGATGAATTCAGTTGTTAGTTGTTGAGATTGTCTACATCTTTAGAACATTTAGGGAACTAAAGAGAGACTCTTTTGCTGGCCACTGACTCTTGTTAGCTTGGTTTGGGTGAGATAAAGTATCTAGATAAGCCCTTGCTTATGGCATTGACTGAATAGCTTATTTCACACCTATATAATAAGACATTAATTTTACTTCTTCACTAATTGATTCAGTAAATCAGCACTCCATGAGTCATCACTATAGAAACAAACAGCAAACATTCTGTTTTTTCCCACTGAATCTCCAGAGGGGGATTAAAAAGATTTTCAGAGGAAAGACTCTAGAGTCCCCAAGTAAACATTTCAGAAAGTGGCTAGAGTGACATTCTCCTGCAAGTCCTTTACACCAGCTTGACTTATCCCCCAAAAAGTAGGATATGGCTATTACAATCCCCATTTGCAGATGAGAAAAGTGAAGTTCAGAAAGTTTGAGTAATCTGCCTAAAACCACCTCTAGCAAGTGATGGAGTTATAGAGCTAAGTGCGGTGTTCACATGTTCAAAGCTCATGAAATTCCTGGCATATTCCACTGCTTGCCTTACACAAACAAAACAAAATGAAACAAAATAAAAAAAACAGATACACTTGACTGTCATTAATTCTCATAAAATTATAGAGGAAATGCAAACACATCCCACTTTCAAAGCAGAGCAACTTTAAAAACCTCTAGTATGCAAAAACTAAACGTGATCATCTGTCTTATCAGGTCAACAGTTTGGTCAAAGTAGGCAATGTATGTACATATGATATCTGGAGCTTATTTTAAGTTTCTGGTAAGTCTGTGTAAATATACCATTTTGGAACTGCAAGGCTTATGACAAAGGATTATCTTTCTTTTTTTCAACTTTAATTTTAAGTTCAAGCTTACAAGTGTAGGTTTGTTACATAGGTAAACTTGTGTCATGGAGGTTTGTTGTACAGATTATTTCATCACCCAGGTATTAAGCCTAGTACCCATAAGTTGTTTTTCCTGATCCTCTCCCACCCTCCATCCTTCAGTAGGCCTCAGTGTGTGCTGTTCCCCTCTGTGTCCATGTGTTCTCATCATTCAGCTCCCACTAATATGCGGTATTCAGTTTTCTGTTCCTGTGTTAGTATGCTAAGGATCATGGCCTCCAGCTCCATCCATGTCCCTGCAAAGGACATAATCTCATTCTTTTTTACAGCTGCATAGTATTCCATGGTGTGTATGCACCACATTTTCTTTATCCAGTCTACTATTGATGGACATTTAGGTTGATTCCATGTCTTTGCTATTGTGAATAGTGCTGCAATGAACGTACATGTGCATGTGTCTTTATAATAGAATGGTTTATATTCCTTTGGGTATATACCAAGTAATGGGATTACTGAGTCAAATGGTATTTCTGTCTTTAGGTCTTTGAGGAATTGCCACACTGTCTTCCACAATGGCTGAACTAATTTACACTCCCACCAACAGTGTATAAGTGTGGCATAGGGTTATCTTTCTCTTTTCCCTTTGTACCAAAGCCTCATCTTTTATGTTATAACAGTATTTCTCAAACTGCATATTGATGTCAATAAGTGCACAGAGAAAAAAAAATAAAACAAAATTTTGAAAATATGTTCAGAAAACATTGGAATACATGTAGTATGTGTTTCTCTGCTTCAGAACTTCTCAAGACCTTAATATGTTAGTGCTCATGGACTGGTTCCCAAGTGTATTTGACCACAGGACCTTTTCTCTCTCTCTCTTTTTTTTTTTTTTTTTTTTGAGGAATACATCTGTAACCATCTTATGTCTACTGGAACATGCTTTTGAAAATACTGCCCATTTCAACGTTAGTTTCTTGGAGACCCTAAAGTCTCAGAATTCCCGAGTTTTGTAGAATATACGATAGTATCTGCATATATGACTATAAACCTTGTGACTAACTTATAACTTAAGAAAATCCTTCCAAAATGTACTAAATAGATTTCTATTAGCATAAGTCAAATAAATATATACAGTGCTTGTTAAGGAAATCTTCAACAACAAATCTAGATCTTTCCATAACTGGTCCTTTCCTATCACTCAGGAATTCTCTGACCATCCAATCTCAGCCTCTTTTTGCCTCCTTCACATTCCTTGAATCAATTTTTATTACATAACCCTGTTTAATTTTCCTCATAGTATTTATCAGTATCTGAAATCATTTTACTGTTTTGTCTTGACTTAGAATCTAAGACGCATGAAAGTTGAGTCATTTGTATTTCCAACAGCTACTATGGTGCCAAGTACATATAGAATAGAAAGTTATTTCATTCATTCATGTATTCATTCATTCAACAAATATTTACTGAAAATTTCCCATGTGCCCAAAACCATTCTAGTTCTAGATCCAGCAATGAGTAAAACAGACATCAGTTTACTCCTCGAATTGTGTGTACATTAGATTTGTTTTATGTAAACAAGACTTTGCATTCCCTTTGAAGGTGGCATGTTTTAAACCAGTGTAGTTATTATTTAAAATTCAAATTATTAATAACTAATTTACCTAATTTTGTAAACATAAATTTTCATATGGCTTGTTTTTCTGTAGTTTGTAGTTATTTGTTTAAAATCAAAGAGCCAAAAATTTTATGTGTATCATCTCTTTTAATCCTGACAACAGACCTGCAGAGTGGAGACTATTACCTCCATTTGATACATGAGGAAAGTGGGGTTATAGAAATAACTTTCCCAAGACACTTAACTGGTAGATAGGTAATATCTGAATATAAGTCCAGTAGATTTGAAATCAAAGCCCACATCCTTTTCTACCACATCCACTGCCTACTTTGATATTAGTATAACCCAACAGTTATTAATAGAGAAAAAAGCAAGAAGCACCAAAAAAATGCCTTAAGTCAATGGGTCCCTTGTGTTGCATTTTGTGACTGTGTGAATTCCCTCTGATTCTTTGCATTTGGACTCCATTTTGAAGTTCTGGGCAATCCATCTTATTACCTCCCAGCGATCCATCAGGACCACAGGCAGGTGTCTGCACCACCTCAGAGGTAGTGACTTCTATATTTCTGACAGTTACTGTCTTCCCGGAGAATAAGGCCATGTGGTATATTTTGTTGCAAGGATGCTGCAAAGGGAAGATAAAACCAACAAAGGAGCTGAAAGAAATCAAAGAAAAGAGGACAATAAGGAGAATAAAGACAAGTTCAAAATAAGCTAAATTTAGAAATCGCTTGAAGCTCCATTGTTCGAGTTACAAAACTTGTCTTGCTTTCCAGCAGTCCAAGTTCTGCTGACTTGATGTGTGACCTTACCAGGTCTCCTTGCCCTTCTCGGTGTCAAGTTTATGACACTATGGAGGGTGAAACCAGTCCTGGGCTGCTGAACTCTGGCTTCTTTAATGTGGGATAATGAACCTGGTATGTTTACATAATTGTTATTTGGGATTTTTCCATTATATACAGCCAAATATAATTCTAATTGATACAATCAGTGTATGTTTTTAGTATTTAAAAAGCTACATTTGAAAAAATCCTTGAGAATTGACAAAATATTCAAAGAATTTCAAAAGTGGCAGTATAAATACTTATGAGGAAAAGAATACTAAGGAAGAAGGAAAGAAGAGAGGAGAAGGAGGGAGGTTGATCAGACTGAGGATGAGGAAGAAGGAGGAGGAGAAAAAGGAAGAGAAGAAGGGGGAGGGGGGAGGGAAGTGGAAGAGGAAGGAGGAATTAGATAAAGAAGAAGATAAAGAAGAAGGAGAAGAAAAAGAAGAAGGAGAAGAAGAAAAGAAGAAGAAGAAAAGAGGAAGGAGAATAAGAAGAAGAATAAAGAAAAGGAGGAAGAGAGTGGAGAAAGGGGAGGAACAATAACAGCAAGAAAAGGACAAGAAGGAAAAGATTCCATTCAAATGTAGACTGAAACTCCTTCACTGACATTTAAATCATATTTGCCAAAATCTTGGTAACTGTGGAGCTCTCCTTATTTATAGAATACAATTTTTCCCAAAGATTTCATTATTACATTCTTCTAGCATTCCCATCCAAATCCATAAAACTAAGGCTCAAAGTTCCTACTGCATATATTAGATTGGTGCAAAATTAATTATTTTTAATGGCAAAAACTGCAATTACTTTTGCACCAAGCTAACAATGAGCCAGTAACATTTTTCTCTTTTAAGCTAACTTGATCAAACCCAGAGAGGTCATTCATTAACTCAATTTTATCAATTAATACTAATCTAAGTATTCTGGTAATGTTTACAAATGAACCTTCTTTTCACTTTCCTCACTGAGGCCAAAATCTTCCTGGGGTTTGTATCTGACTTCAATATTTTCTTCAAGCTTCATGTCAAAACTGTTTCTCTCTGTCCCTTTGATCCCTCCCATCTGAAATAGGTTGGCCCTACCCTGAGAGTCTACAGGTCCAATCCTATCCACCAAAGACTGGTTAGAAGGTGCTTGTGGAGGATGACGGCTATTCCCTAAAAGAAGACTATAAGGCTTGCCACACTGATACTTGGCTAGGGTGTATGACTTGCTTTGGCCAATGCAAGTGGGACAAAAAGAAAATGTGAGAAATAGAAAAGCTTCTGTTCACTCCCACTCCTTGATTAGAGAAACAGTCTCTGGCAGAAGGAGAGAAAATATGAAGGGAAAATAAAGAAGAGAGGTCACAGGGGAAAGAGGAGGCGGCATGACCTGAAGGGAACAGGAAGAGGACCCAGGTCAGTGTCTGAGGATGGCCCAGCCTCTATTTCATCAATATCTCCATTGGCCACAGCTGGGGACAAAAGGAGGAGCCATCGTAGTGCCCCAGGCTACACTTTGGGAGCCCTGTACTCAACTGCCACACTAGCTTTCCTTCCTGCTGGCACAGGATGAAGATTTTACTTCAGCAACAATGGCACTTTGCCTGTTTATCAGTAGGTGTGATCTTCATTTGAGCCCTGTATCTTTGTTTCAGCCAAGATCCACTTGCTTTTTGTGAATAATCCCCTACCTTATCCTCCACCACCTGCCAGCTGCCTCTACCACTCACAACACTCAGAGGCCCTCAGGACCCAGCAAGCTTGCAGGATAAAGCTAAATGGTAAGGCGAAGCCTTCCAGGCTTGGGTTTTGCATGGGCTAAACAAATTCAGCCCTAAACTGTCACCATGGTTGAATATCCTGCTGTCATTCTCACTATTTGTTAAGCCTGAGCTTGCTCCTCTGATGCTCAATCTTTTGGTTTAGCAGCTGTCTTCAGGTTCATGTTCCTACATGTGTCTCCCCTTCGGTAACTGACCCTTGGCTTCATTTGCAGGTTCCAGTGCCTAATATGACTACACAAAACCATTTCATTTCCCTTCATATTGCGGTCAGCTCAGTCCTGGATCAGCCATCCTTCTCCACCTGGCAGCCTTTTTGCCTTCTGCAGATGAGCTTTCTTTTTAGCACAAGAATTAGAGAGGAGCTAATCAACATTGAGCAATTCACAATCACAATGTTGTATTCTTATTTTCTTCTTTACTGGAGAAGAAGCCAAAACAAAAGAAAAACAAATTGTTACAGAGATTCACATGTGAAATCTCCTGGTTTTGCAAGTCAGAGGGCAGTCAGTCTAGCATCCTTTGCTCCAGCCCCATCCTGTATTTGGCTTTTGAAGCTAGTGCTTGTGTTGTTATTAATTTGCACCAAAAGGATGCTTAGCAACAATCAAACATGATGTATTAAATATGAAACTACTTTCTGAAGGAGCTCAGAATCACAAAACAAGCTCGTTGGAACAAAGCTCTTGAAAACCCATGTAAATAGAACATAAAAATCTGAAAGATACATGACGATCATTTCACCACATTCCATTTATTGGTGAATAAGCTAGAGTAAATCAAATCAATTAAAGTTTTAAACAGGTCTAAATTAATTTGTCTTCATTTCATTTTATGGTATTTGCTCTCCAAACTGAGAAAACTCAGTTTAGTTTTCTTCATGGCATGGTAACAGAAATAATTTTCAAGTGATGTTGAGGCTTATTTAAGTCTGATCCAAATGACAACATAGCATTTAAATTATGTTATATAACTCTTATGTAAACGTACAAGATAAGTTATCTGCTGGAACTAACAACTTCCAAATTTTAGTGACTTAACATTGTAAAAGTATATTATTTCCTATTTTTACATTTTAATGTGGGTTGTGCTGGGAGGAGGTGACCCTTCTCCATACAGTCATTTAGGGATCCAGACTTTTTCTATTTGTTTCTCCACCATCCCCTGTAGCCTGAGAACCATCACTGAATCCATAATTCCTGCTGGTATGTGGAGGAAGAAAACAGAGCAGTGCATGGAAGCTTTTATTACGGGCCGGCCAGTCCTGGAAGTTAGTTGTGCATCACTTTTGTCCACATTATTGGTCAGAACTCAGTCACAGGGCCACACCTTACTGCAAAGGAGCCTACAAAAATGCAATGCTGCCTGTCTCCAGAGGAAAGGGGAGTCAGTTTGGTGAGAAAGTTTCAGACCTCAAGGGATTGGAAAAGGCTCCTTGCTCAGCAAAAGAAAACCAGAGATGGAAGAAAGTGTCTCTGTATGAAAGAACAAAGGCACAAAGCAAGGGATCTGCAGTTTTCAGCATTAAAGAAAACATGGATAATAACATTTTTAAAGGGCTGAGAACATGTCTCAGATGGGTTCTGGAAGGTGTAGATGTGATGCCCACCACTAAGGGGTAACCCAACACTTCAGTCACTCTCAAATATTAACAGTAGCAGTTATTTCAGCATCTATTATGTTTATAATGTTTGTGCTCTGTTACTTCCACAATTTTTATATTTAATTTTATTTATATAATCTTATGATAAGAATGTATGCCCCATATTTCAGAAAGTCCTGGGAACACTTGTGGTGTGTGTGTGTGTGTGTGAGAGAGAGAGAGAGAGAGAGTTGGTGGGAGTAATGGATAAATGTTGAGAAGGGAAGCAGGCAGTGAGCTAAAATATTCTAGTGAAAGCAATATTTCATAGCAACTAATTGCCTCAGAGAATTTGTGGAAGGTTGAATAGACTCTTTTATCCAACTATACTATCAAGCATTAGAAATGGTAGTTATTGCCTACTGATGTCTATTTTGTTGGAAATATATTGAAATCTGTAGCATCTACTGCTCTTACCACTTTCTACATGTCAATTCATAATTCTGAAGATTGGCCCTGTGGGATAATGGAATGTTGATGGAATTCAGTGGATATTTTCAGAGTAAAATCACTGAAGAATCTTGATAATGTGACTAAGAAGCTAGAAAAAGTGAATGCTGCTTATTCCTGTTTAAGTTTCCTTTCTCTGATTATATATTATTGACGGCACTGTAGAAAGTATGAAAACACTTAGAGAAAACAGATTTTTAAAGTAAAAACTAAAAATGCACTAAACCATCCTCCTGGTGGACAGCACTGCTCCATGATATTTTAAAAGTCTCAAATACATTTGGGCTTAGAAATTACTGGAAGAGATCATTGTCTCCTTAGTGTTTAGAGATGTGGGAATTTGAAAGCTATCAATGCAGCATCTGAAATATCTCTATCTGACTCACACCCTGGGGGAAAAGCGCTGACAGTGTCTATACAGGAGGAAGCAGAGACACAGTTAAGAGCACAGATTCTGCAGCCAAAATGCCTGCATTGATTTCTGACTGGCTATCTACTACCTGTGTGACTTTAGGCAAGTCACCCGACCTCTCTGTGTCTGTTTCCTCTTTTGAAAAATGCAGATAATATTAGTAGCTATCTCAAAGGCTTGTAATAGGTATGTGATGTTAGGCAGGCTCTTGGGAGGGATATAGTCCCTCTGTAATAGGGACATCCTTGAGGGCAGGGTGCATTCTCTCTCTGTCTTTCTCTCTGTCTCTCTCTGCCTCCTTCTCCCATCACTTCAGTGTCGACATTCTTTTGGTTCATTGTAGATAATAACCGGATGAATGTTCTCAAACATAGTCTCTGGCTTTCCATGAAGCTGCCTTGAATGACACATTATGCTATAGAGAAAGTTCAGCAAAATCTCAGTGTGTAGAGTCTTACAAATTGAATTATCGTTTTAGGGCTCACCTAAAAACATTTTTATGATGTTTAATCCATTTGTGTTTCCAACCCTGACCTACAGGGGACAATGCCTTGCTTTTATTTTTTACTTGTTTTTCTTTTTTGGCTAGATGGCAGATTAACAGAGGATGGGAAAAGAATGCCAAAAATGCAACTTGGGGACTAAACCACCATTTTCGTCTTTTATGTTTAGTTTTGATCTTGACCTCCTGGAGCATTTTCATGGAAAAGGCAGTTCCAGGATTCTTTGTGGCCTCTTCCACAGGAGAAAGTAAAGGAGCTAGAGGCCTCTAAAAATTTAGTTATTGAAGAACTGAAGTTATTCACAGCAACCTGGCAGAAGAGAATGTGAAATACGTGGGTCTCAGGTAAGAGGCTTGTTCATCTAGAATGGTGAGTGAGAATCAGGATGTCTGAGACTGACAAGCAGAGTGGCAGCAGTTCCAGCTACTGGAGAAACACAAAAATAGGATTCCAGAAAAATGACAACTAGAAGTTTCCTGGGTCTGACAGTGTTGAGAGCTGCAGTGAATAATGACTTCAATTTACAGGAAAACATAAATAGAAGGGGTCTGGAAGTTGATCCAGAAATGTTTTTAATCATTATTGTGTCTTATAACTGTATGACACTTTATCAGCTACAGAATTCATGAAGTGACTGGATGTAAGCAGTAGGGTGAGGTAGCAGGTATCCTTGTTTTGTAGGATAAGAACTGCGGCTGGGAGACTGAGTAGAAACAGAGCTAGTAAATGGATTAGCCAGAATCAGGATGGAGAGGTTTGGGTCAAAATTAAATGTTCTTTCCACTGCTCTGAGCTGCCTGGTACTTTATCTTCTGCATGACAAAAGGTGCAGAAAGATCTATAGCAGTGACATTAATGCCACAAATTCTGCTTTCAGTGGGCACCTACTGATGCGACACACTTTGTGCAACCATATATGTAGAGCAATCATAGAATGTGACACATGTAGGGGGTCTGAGAACTCCTCTATTATAGCCCAGACTTCTCAGTTACTGAGGAGAAAATCCTTAACGTGTGACTCAGGGAACAACAGGAAGTTGGGTTAGAGCTTTGTTCCTCTATTCCTACTA
Source organism: Homo sapiens (assembly GCF_000001405.40). Classification (NCBI taxonomy): domain Eukaryota; kingdom Metazoa; phylum Chordata; class Mammalia; order Primates; family Hominidae; genus Homo; species Homo sapiens. The sequence goes on from NC_000006.12 coordinate 46,531,118, forward strand.
TGCAGTCCAGGATGGAGGCCTTCCTTCTTTATCCTAGGCACTCCCCACAGGAGAGGGGCTGGTCTCTCTTCAGTGTTGCAAAGGAAAACATTGCCCTAGAGCTCTTTTTCTGTAGTGAAAACCATTCTTCCATTTCTTCCGATGAGGAAATAAAGTTGAAAAATTAAACAACATTCCTTATTTCTATCAGCGTAGGTAACTATAAGAATCTCTGGTTTCTTACCTAAACTCACTCAATAAAGTATTGCAAACAATTTCAGAATGCTTATTTTATGAATCAGTTTATCACATTTCTTGGAACTGAGGACCAAAATCAATATTTCCTTGTAAGTATGTTTCTTATTTGTTCTTGAAAGTAGAAAAGTAGTACATATAAAGTACTTACACAATACCGGATACAAAGTAACAATCCATGTTTAGTATTATCTTTAACTCACTCTATAGCATCACTCTATCAAGACATATAAACCTTCAGAATGCACTACTATAGCAATTTAGTTGTTCCATTTGTTCTTTCCTTTGCTGCACTAGAAGAGTAGAATGTAACGATTTCTATTACTTTCTGGATATGTTTGCCATGTAAGCCATTTCTGTCCACACGATTTATTTATTTTGAGATGAAGTTTCACTCTTGTTGCCCAGGCTGGAGTGCAGTGGTGCCATCTTGCCTCACTGCAACCTCCACCTCCTGGGTTCAAGTGATTCTCCTGCCTCAGCCTCCCAAGTAGCTGGGACTACAGGCATGTGCCACCACGTCCGGCTAATTTTGTATTTTTAGTAGAGACGGGGTTTCACCTTGTTGGCCAGGCTGGTCTCAAACTACTGACCTCAAGTGATCCACCCGCTCTGGCCTCCTAGTGCTGGGATTACAGGTGTGAGCCACCGTGTCTGGCCAAACATACAATTTAGATAGGCTGTGGTTTTTAGAATCCGTCAATACCAACTTTTAAAGATCAAGGAGAATTGAGTTACAGAGACACCACAGAGAAGCCTGAAGAAGCAAAGAGGGGTTTTCCCTAGACTAGCAAGATCTTCCACTAGACTGGCAAGAGATGAGATGGCTGAGCCCTAGAGACCTGAGTCCCGAAAGGTCTGATGGAACTGTGAGACCAAAAAAGTCAGGGCAGAAGGGAACGCAGGCTCCAGTGTTCCTAGCCATGCTGAGTGAGGCCTAGAAACGACAGGGCACCATGGGATTTCAATGGACTGTAATGATGACAGAGGCAAACTTGAAACCCTGGTGAATGGAGGTGCTTGTCTCTCTTTCTAGGTAATAGGTAATATCCCTAATTCCACGGTGATGCTGAGAAGCAGAGGGCGCCCTCAGAAGTAGTTTCTCTTAAGGAATTTGCAGCTGGCCTACAAGAACAGGACCACAGAATCAGGTCCTGTAAAAGGGTATGTAAAAGTTGTATTTTTTGCACATCTGTCTTGTATTCTGAGTCACACTCCTCTCATTGATTATCCTTCACAATAGCCGTTGTTTTAACAGCGTTATGGAGATAAAGTTGAGATGGCATATAATTCACCCATTTAAAGTATAAGATTCAATGGCTTTTAGTATATTCACAGAGTTGTACAAGTGTTACCACAATCAATTAAAAAATGTTTTGGTTACTGTAGCCTTGTAGTATAGTTTGAAGTCAGGTAGCGTGATGCCTCCAGCTTTGTTCTTTTGGCTTAGGATTGACTTGGCGATGCGGGCTCTTTTTTGGTTCCATATGAACTTTAAAGTAGTTTTTTCCAATTCTGTGAAGAAAGTCATTGGTAGCTTGATGGGGATGGCATTGAATCTATAAATTACCTTGGGCAGTATGGCCATTTTCACCAAAACAGCATGGTACTGGTACCAAAACAGATATAGATCAATGGAACAGAACAGAGCCCTCAGAAATAATGCCGCATATCTACAACTATCTGATCTTTGACAAACCCGAGAAAAACAAGCAATGGGGAAAGGATTCCCTATTTAATAAATGGTGCCGAGAAAACTGGCTAGCCATATGTAGAAAGCTGAAACTGGATCCCTTCCTTACACCTTATACAAAAATTAACTCAAGATGGATTAAAGACTTAAACATTAGACCTAAAACCATAAAAACCCTAGAAGAAAACCTAGGCATTACCATTCAGGACATAGGCATGGGCAAGGATTTCATGTCTAGAACACCAAAAGCAATGGCAACAAAAGCCAAAATTGACAAATGGGATCTAATTAAACTAAAGAGCTTCTGCACAGCAAAAGAAACTACCATCAGAGTGAACAGGCAACCTACAAAATGAGAAAAAATTTTTGCAGCCTACTCATCTGACAAAGAGCTAATATCCAGAATCTACAATGAACTCAAACAAATTTACAAGAAAAAAAACAAACAACCCCATCAAAAAGTGGGCGAAGGACATGAACAGACACTTCTCAAAAGAAGACATTTATGCAGCCAAAAAACACATGAAAAAATGCTCACCATCACTGGCCATCAGAGAAATGCAAATCAAAACCACAATGAGATACCATCTCACACCAGTTAAAATGGCAATCATTAAAAAGTCAGGAAACAACAGGTTCTGGAGAGGATGTGGAGAAATAGGAACACTTTTACACTGTTGGTAGGACTGTAAACTAGTTCAACCATTGTGGAAGTCAGTGTGGCGATTTCTCAGGGATCTAGAACTAGAAATACCATTTAACCCAGCCATCCCATTACTGGGTATATACCCAAAGGATTATAAATCATGCCGCTATAAAGACACATGTACACGTATGTTTATTGTGGCACTATTCACAATAGCAAAGACTTGGAACCAATCCAAATGTCCAACAATGATAGACTGGATTAAGAAAATGTGGCACATATACACCATGGAATACTATGCAGCCATAAAAAATGATGAGTTCATGTCCTTTGTAGCGACATGGATGAAATTGGAAATCATCATTCTCAGTAAACTATCGCAAGGACAAAAAACCAAACACTGCATGTTCTCACTCATAGGTGGGAATTGAACAATGAGAACACATGGACACAGGAAGGGGAACATCACACTCTGGGGACTGTTGTGGGGTGGGGGGAGGGGGGAGGGATAGCATTAGGAGATATACCTAATGCTAAATGACGAGTCAATGGGTGCAGCACACCAGCATGGCACATGTATACATGTGTAACTAACCTGCACATTGTGCACATCTACCCTAAAACTTAAAGTATAATAATAATAAAAAAATAAAAAATAAAAAGTGTTCTTTGCAAATTTCAAATAAACAATACCATAAGATTAACTATAGTCACCAGGTTATACTTTGGATTGCCAGAAATTATTCATCTTATAACTGAAAGTTTGTATCCTTTGAACAATATCTCCCAATTTCTCCCACTCCTCAGACCCTGGCAACCACCATTATTTGTTAAGAGAGTAGATCTTGAATGTTGTCAACACTCACACACACACACAACTCTGTGAGGTGATGGATGTGTTAACTTGATTGTGCAATTTTTCACAATATTTACATATATCAAAGTAAAAAAATGTTAATTTCTTTCCAAAGAAACCCAAGGCCCTTAGCTGTTACCCACTCAATCATCCCATTCCGCAGAGATCCAGGCAATCACTAATCTACTTTCTCTCTTTGCAGATTTGCTTCTTCTGGATATTTCATATAAATGGAATCATATCACCTGTGGTCCTTTGTGTCTGGCTTCTTTTGCTTAATGTTTTCAAGGCTTGTCCATGTTGTAGCACTTATCAATATATCAATATGCTGTATTTTTCTTTTTAAATTAAGACTATATATTTTTGGAGCAGTTTTAGGTTCACAGCAAAATTGAGAGGTACCGAGATTTTCCACATATCCCCTTTTATCTCTTTTTATTGCCAAGTAAAATTCTGTTGTATGGTTATACCACATTTTATTATCCATTCATCTGTTGATGGACATTTGAATACTTTTCACTTCTTGGCTATTATGAATAGTGCTGCTATAAACATTTGTGTTTTTGTTTGAGTAGCTGTTTCAAGTCTCTTGGGATATACCTAGGAGTAGACTTTCTGGATCATATGGTAAGCTCTATGCTTAACCAGTTGAGGAAATGCCAAAGTGTTTTCCAAAGCAATTGCCCGATTTTCCATTCCTACCACCAGAGGATCCCAATTTCTCCATATTTTCACCAACACTTGCAATTATGTGTCTTTTTAATTATAGCTATCCAAGTGGATGTGAAGTGGTATCTCATTATAGCTTTAATTTACATTACCCTGATGGCTAATTATGTCAAACACCTTTTCATGTGCTTGTGCCTATTGTCTATTTGTATGTCTTCTTTGGAGAACTGAATTACTTTTCAGATTCTTTGCTCATTTTCTAAAACTTGGGTTGTCTCTTTATTTTGAGGATCTTTCACTTTCTTAATGATGTCTTTTGAAGTACAAAAGTTTTTTAATTCTGATGACATTCCAGCTTATCTATTTGGTTGCTTGTGCTTTTGATGTCACATCCAAGAAATCATTGTCTAATCCAAGGTAATAAATATTTTCACCTATGTTTTCTTCCAAGAATTTCATAGTTTTAGGTCTTATATTTATTTGATTCATTTTGAGTTTGTTTTTGTAATATGGTATAAGGGAAGGGGGTGCCACTTTATTATTTTGCATAGGGATATCCAGTTGTCCCACACTCTTGAATTAAGGTTATATTATGCCTATTTAGTCTGTGAAGAAACTGAGGCTCAGAGAACTAAAGTGATTGGCTCACTATCATATGGAGCTAAATGGCCAAGCCAGAATTTGAACTTGAGTCTTCCCACAATGCAACCAATATTCTTTCTGTTAGGCTATAGCTGCTGCCCTATTTCTATTTCCAACCACAAAGAACTTAGACATCAAATGGATTTTTTAAGCTATTTTTAATTATTATTTTCCTTATTTTGAAACATAAAGAAAAAATGAGATAAGGGTCCATTTTCATTCTTCTGCATTTGGATATCTAGTTTTCCCAACACCATTTATTGAAGAAATTGTACTTTCCCATGGTGTGTTCTTGACATCTTCTCAAAAATCAATTGACCATAGGTAGGTGGGTTTATTCTGGAGCTCTCTATACTACTCCATTTGTTAATGTGTCTGTTTTTATGCCAGTCCCATAGCATTTTGATTATAGCTTGTAATATATTTTGAAATGTGGTAGTGCGATGCCTCCAGCTTTGTTCTTTTTGTTCAAGATAGCTTTGGCTACTTGTTTTTTGTGGTTTCAAATAAATTTTAAATTTTTTTCTATTTCTATGAACAATTATGGTGAAATTTTGATAGGAGTCACATTGAATCTGTAGATTGCTTTGGATAGTATGAATATTTAAATAACACTAATTGTTTCAATTCATTAACATAGTATATTCTTCTTTTCTTTTTTTTCTTTCTTTTTTTTTTTAGGAGACTCTTACTCTGTCACCCAGGCTTGAGTGCAGTGATGCAATCTCGGCTCACTGCAACCTCCGCCTCCCAGGTTCAAGTGATTCTCGTGCCTCAGCCTCCCGAGTAGCTGGGACTACAGGTGCACGCCACCATGCCCAGCTAATTTTTGTATTTTATTTTTTTAGTAGAGATGGGGTTTTGCTATGTTGGCCAGGCTGGTCTTGAACTTCTGACCTCAGGTGATCTGCCCGCCTTAGCCTCCCAAAGTGATGGGATTACAAGTGTGAGCCAGTGCACCTGGCCTATTTTTCTATTTATTTGTGTCATCAACTTTTTTCATCAATGTTATATAATTTTCAGCATATAGATCTTTTACTGCCTTGATTAAATTTACTCCTATGTATTTTATTCTTCAATCCTATTGTAAATGGAATTATTTTCTTAATTTATTTTTCAGATAGTTTGTTGTTAGTGTACAAAATGCTACTGATTTTTAGAGGTTGATTTTCTCTAATTATCAGACAAATAAATGCAAATTAAAACCACAATGAGATATCACCTCACATCTGTTAAACTGGCTATTACAAAAAAAGATGGAAGATAACAAGTGTTGCCAACGAAGTGGAGAAAAGAAAATCCTGTACACTGTTGGTGGAAATATAAATTAGTACAGCCATTTTGAAAAACAGTATGGAGGTTCCACAAAAAACTAAAAATAGAATTACTATATGATCCAGCAACCTCATTTCTAGGTATATATCCAAAGGAACTTAAATCAGTATGTCTAAGAGATATCTGTGCTCCCTTGTTCACTGCAGCATTATTCTCAATAGCCAAGATATGAAAACAACTGAAGTGCCATCAACAGATGAATGGATTTTTAAAATGTGGTACACACACACACACACACAATAGAATACTATTCAGCCTTTAAAAAGCAGAAATTCTGTCATTTGCAACAACATGAGTGAATATAGAATGCATTATCCTAAGTGAAATAAGCCAGGCACAGAGAAACAAATACTGCATGATTTCACTTACATGTGAAATTTTTAAAAGTTGAACTCATAGAAGGAGAATAGTGGTTACCAGAGGCTGGGAAGGTAAGGTAACTGGAGAAAGAAGAAATGTTGGTCAAAGGGTACAAACTTTCTGTTAGAAAAAATAGGTTCTGGTGATCTTTTGTACAGCATGGTGACTGTACATGGTGACATGTTAATAGTAATGTATATTTTTAAATAGCTAAAGGAGTGGTTTTAGATATTATCACCATAAAGAAAAGTATTTAAGGTGATGAATATGTTAATTAGCCTGATTTAATCATTCCACAGTGCATACTTGTATCGAAATATCATATTGGACTCCATAGATATATATAATTATTATTTGTCAATAAAACTTAAAAAAATAAAATAATAGTCCTGATCATCATTCAGGAAAAGGTCTTTAATTTGCAACATATTCTAATGAGCTAAATATTCTTCCTATTTGTATATGTTTGCATAAGATATCGATTAGTGATCTAATACCAAGAAGAATTGTTTTTCTTAAACAGAAATATGTTTATGACAGAGTTGGTTAAAGTCACCTAATCAACAATATTTGATATTTGTTTTATATTTATTATGTGCTAGGCTTTGTGTTACAGTACTAATTCAAGCCATGGCAACCCTGAAGAGAATATCTTAGTAGCTCAATTATAGTCCCAGGGCTTAGGGAGATAGGGTAACTTGCAAAAGTATACACAATCAGATGCAATAGAGTTGAACTTTGAATGCATAATATTGGATATCAAAGTTTCTATTATGAACCTCTGTGCTTTACTCTCTGTAAGAATAGGTATGATGCTAAGGACACAGTTGGGTGCCTAATACATGTTTTTTGCTTTTGAATGTCTCATTATGTGAGTTAAATAACCTATATGACCCACTCAGAAATCATTTTGTGTGTGGATTCTTTTCTATATAATAAACCAATCAATTGCTTAGAAAATAAAATATAACGGCCAACATATAAATTTGACTACAATGTTATGTATGACTTTAAAAAAATTATTGTATAGCATATCCATAAAATCATTTTGGTATAATCATACTGACACCATCGAGGTGGTATTCAGCTTGCTGAAACTTATTCCTGTAAATAAAATCAGATTCGAGAAAAGAGGACTAAAGACATAGAAAGAGAATAGAAACCAGAGAATTTCATTTCCAAGGTTGTTCAGGTAGGCTAGTTTATGCTGTGGCAACAAACGTCAGTGTGTCTCTTCCATGCTGCATGTCCAGCGTGGGTTTTGAAAAAGGACATTTTCTTTCTCGCTAACACTCAGGGACCCAGGCTGATGGAGGCTCTGCCTTTCTGTTGCTGCATAGCTCCGCTGTTATGGCCACAGAGGAAGAAGATAATAAAGTCAATTTTTATCCATATGTCTACCTTGCATCTTGAAATCGACAAACATCACCTCTACTTATAGCCCATTGGCCCAAAGTAGTCACATGACCCTGTATAACTGTCAAGGTGCTGGGACTGTGGGGAAGCACCTCACATTCTTCAGGCACTAAATGTATCTGTCACAGAGAGCTTATCTAGTCCACTGTCTTTCAAAATGTGCACCTTTGAAACATAGGGCTTTGCAGAGTTGTGTAATGAGTCCTGGAAATAATAAAGTACAGTCAACTAAATAATAAACATGAAAACCACCGGATGGATTTTATCAACTGTTAAGTGCTTTTTTATTAGAAGAGCTATAAATTATTGTGTCGTGGAAAGAAGGAAAAGTTTTGCAGCCAACAGAAGTTGGGAATTCACTCATGTGCTTCATTTTTTTCTGTTTTCAAAGAATCATTCACTTAAAAAATCTCACCCAGATTAAAGCTGTCTTGACCAGCCACTTAACATCCTGCAATGTCTTATAACATCCTGCAATGTCTTATAACATGATATTTCTCCTGCTTGTGTTTTAGCTTCATAAGCAATAAAGCCAGGATGTTAAGCTGGTATTTCTAATTACGTATTACAATTCTATACATGCTAGTTTTCAACAACAACAAAATCAAAGGAAAGTTCACATGTGTTGTGAAGCAACCACCATACCCCCTCTTCTAAGACTCTCTTTTTTTATAATTCTCTGCAAAATTCCAAGTTACCTGAAAACAAAGCTTAAAAATAAGGCTATTCTGTATCTAGCTGGTACCTGTCTCCACCAGAAGAGAAAAATCCATAAGTCTTCTTTATCTTATAGTCCATTGGGTCTCTACTGATCGGGATTACTTTTGTGAGAAAACAAAGTAGAATGCTACTCCAAAAAAAAAAAAAAAAGCAAAAAAGAAGCCAATTGCTGTTAATATGTCTATTATATTGTAGATATAAACACATAGACAATGCATGCTATAATATATCATTCAAATTTATAACACTTGTTCAACGTTTACGCTTACATGCCCTTCCTAAAAATATATATTTTATCAGATTTTTTTCCCTTAAAACAGTGAATGACTCCCTCCCACATCTGGTAGGTCTCATTCTAGGCCAGTTTATGGCACAGTTCCCATAAGGGGACAAGGATCTGGAGAAAGAAACTGAAGAGGAAGAAATGCTGAGGAGCACACAACAGTACTTCTCTTTTCTCTTTCCTTTGTAATACAGGCTACACAACAAACTAACCACTTTTTGAAACATTTTTTATAGATATAGGTTCTTGCTATGTTGCCCAGCCTGAAGTGCACAATCACTACACACTACAGCCTGGAACTTCTAGGCTCAAGCTATCCTCCCACTTCAGCCTCCCAGATAGCTGGGACTACAGGCTCACCCCACAAACTAACCACTTTTTCCCTGTGAGTTAAGAGAGAACTAAATGAGTAGATCATGATGACAACAAGGTCAAGGTGCTATCTCTTGCAGCTAATAGTTTTCTCTTTATGAAGAATGCAATTCTGTTTAATGTTTTGAGGACATGTTCTGGAATCAGAGTCCATGGGTGCAAATCCTGCCTTTGCCACTTACTAGCCATGTGATCCCAATTAAGTCACTCAGTCTTTCCAAGATCCAATTCTCTCATTTTTAAAATAGGGATAACAACAACAACAACAACAAAACCTAACTCATTGGATTACTGTGAGAATTAAATAAGTTGAGGGATGAAATGGGCTTAGCCAAGTACCTGATACATAGTTATTGCAAATATCAGGTAAGCACTCACAGTACCTAGTTGCAACTTTATATTGCAAAAGAGGCATTGAAAGGGTAGAAAAACAGTCTTGAATTGCAAATACCACCCCTCCTCTACCTGCCAGCAGCAGTGGTGTGATACAGAGAGTGTCTCTGGGCTCTGGGGTAGGGAGAGTGCAGCACTTGTGAGGCATTGAACTCAGTGCTGTCCTGTTATAACAGAAAAGAAAACTGGACCAAACTCAGCTGATGCCTGCCCATGAAGGGAGCATTTAAACCACCCCAGGAGAGGGGAATCACTGATCCCAGTGGTCCGAACTTGAGTTCCCGCAATCCTCACCACTGTGGGGGAAAGGGCTCTGGGGCCCAAAATAAACTTGAAAGGTAGTCAAGGTCACAAGGACTGCAACATCTAGGCAAATCCTAGTGCTGAACCAGGCCCAGAGCCAGTGGACTGGGGGGCACACAACTTACTGAGACACTGGCTGGTGTGGGCTAGGGGAGAGCTGGCATCACCCATCCTCTAACCCCAGGCTGCAAAGTTTGCAGCTCCAAAAGAGACACTTTCCTTCCACTTGAGGAGAGGAGAGGGAAGAGTGGGGAGGACTTTGTCTTGGATACCAGCTCAGCCACAGCAGGATAGGGTACTGGTCAGAGTCCTGAGACTCCCTTTCCAGGCCCTAGACCCCAGATGGCATTACTAGTCATATCCTGGGCCAGAAGAGAACCTGATGGCTTGAAGGGAGGGACCCAGTCCTGGCAGCATTAATCGCCTGCTAACCGAAGAGCCCTTGGACCCTGAATGACCATCAGCAATACACGGATGCTATGTGAAGGGCTTCGGATGAGAGTCTGAGACTTACTAGCTTCAGGTGAGACTCAGCACATTCCCAGCTGTGGCGACTATGGGTCGAGACTCCTTCTGCTTGAGAAAAGCAAAGGGGAAAGTAAAGGGGACTTTCTCTTGCACCTTAGGTACCAGCTCAGCCACAGGGAAACAGAGCACCAAGGGGGCCCTTGGGCTTGATTTCAGGACTTGGCTCTTGGACAGCATTTCTGGACCTGCCCTGCACCAGAGGGGAGCCCACTGCCCTGAAGGGTGAGTCCCAGGATGGGCAGCATTCACAAGTTAACTAAAGAGCTCTTGAGACTTAAGGGAACATTGGCGGTAGTCTGGAAGTACTCTTTGTGGGCCTGTGGTGGTGGTGGCCATGAAGTGAGGCTCCTCTACCTTTGGAAAAGGGAGGGAAGAGTGGAAAGAACTCATTTTGTGGTTCAAGTGCAGCTCAGTCACACTACAATAGAACACTACGTAGACATCTAAGGTTTTTTATTGTAGTCCCTGGTTCCCCAACCTGGCACCTCTGGACACAACCAGGGCCTAGGGGCTCTTGCCACCCTGGAGGGAACTACACAGGCCTGGCTGGTTTTGCCACCTTCTGATTGTAGAGCCCCAGGGCCTTGTACAAACATAGGCAATAGCTAGGGAGTGGTTATAGCAGGTTTTGGGCAAGACTCTGCTGTGTTGTCTTTAGGTCTGACCCAGTGCAGTCATAGTGGTGGTGGCCACATGGGTGCTTCTGTCACTCTACCCCTAGCTTCAGATGGCTCAGGATAGAGAGAGAGAGAGATGCTGTATATTTTAGAGAAAGTAAAGGAAGAGAACAAGAGTCTCTGCTTGGTAATCTAGAGAATTACCCCAGATTTTGTCCAAGACCATCAAGGTGGGACCTCAACAAGGCTGTAAGAACCATAGAATTACTGGGTTTGAGGTGCCCCCTAAAGCAGATACAGCTTAGATCACAATACCCAAGTCATTTGGAGTATCTGAAAAGCCTTCCCAAGAAGGATGGGTACTTTCTTCCCAGACTGTTAGGGCTAAAATAAATACCTAACTCTTCACAGATGAACATCTACAAGCATCAAGACAATCCAGGAAATCATGGCCCCACCAAATGAACTAAATAAGGCACCAGGGACCAATCCTGGAAAAACGAAGTTATGGGACCTTTCAGACAGAGAATTCAAAATAGCTCTCTTGTGTAAACTCAAAGAAATTCAAGATAACATGGAGAAGGAGTTCAGAATACTAGCAGATAAATTTAACAAAGTGATTGAAATAATTAAAAAGGTGCAAGCAGAAATTCTGGAGCTGAAAAATGTAATAGGTGTACTGAAGAATGCATGAATCTTTCAACAGCAGAATGGAAAGAATTCTGAAAGATTTGAAAGAATTGAATTCTGTTATTTAAGAAGAAGAAATTAGTGAACTTGAAGACAGGCTATTTGAAAATACACAGAGGAGGCAAAAGAAAAAGTAATAAAAAAGAATGAAGCATGCCTACAGAGAGTGGCATGAAATATTTAAAGGGCTGAAGGAAAAAACCTTTTTACCCTAAAATAGTATATCTGGCAAAAATATCCTCCAAACATGAAGGAGGAATAAAGACTTTCCCAGACAAACAAAAACTGAGGGATTTCATCAACACCAGACCTGTCCTACAAGAAATGCTAAAAGGAGTAATTCAGTAGAAAGAAATGTATGTTAATGAGCAATAAATAATCAGGTACAAAACTCACTGGTAATAGTAAGGACATAGAAAAACAAAATATTATAACACTGTAACTGTGGTGTGTAAACTACTCTTCTCCCAAGTAGAAAAATTAAAAGCTGGAGATTTCAACACTTCACTTTCAACATGAAACAGATCTTCCAGACAGAAAATCAACAAATATCAGACTTAATCTGCACTATAGACCAAATGGACCTAATAGATACTTACAGAACATTTCATCCAGTGGCTGCAGAATACATATTATTTTCCTTAATACATGGATCATTCTTAAGGATAGACCATTTGTTGGATCACAAAACAAGTCTTAAAACATTTAAAGAATTAAAATAATATCAAGAATCTTCTCTGATCACAATAAATGAAACTAGAAAGTAATAACAATAGGAATTTTGAAAACTATACAAATACATGGAAATTAAATGATATGCTCCTGAGTGGCCAGTGCACCAATGAAAAAATAAAAAGGAAACCAAAAATTTCTTGAAACAAATGATAATGGAAACAATGGAAACACAACATACCCAAACCTATGGGATACAGAAAAAGCAGTATTAAAAGGGAAGTATATAGCTATAAATGCCTACATAAAAAAAAGAAAAACTTCAAATAAACAACCTAATGATGCATCTTAAAGAACTACAAGAGCAAGAGCAAACCAAACCCAAAATCAGTAGAAGAAAAGAAATAATAAAGATCAGAGCAGAAATAAATGAAATTGAAATGAAGAAACAATACAAAAGATCAATGAAACAAAAAGTTGTTGTTTTGAAAAGTTAAATGAAACTGACAAACTTTTAGCCATACTAAGAAAAAAAGAAGATACAAATAAAAAAATCAGAAATGAAAAAGGAGACATTACAACAGATCCTGCAGAAATTCAAAGGGTCATTAGTGGCTACTATGAGCAACTATATGCTAATAAATGGGAAAATCTAGAATAAATGAACAAATTTCTAGACACATACAACCTACCAAGACTGAACCAAGAAGAAATCTAAAACCTGAACAGACCAAACCAAAAACCTGAACATAACAAGAAATGAGATAGAAATTGTTATAAAACGTCTCCCAGTAAAGAAAAGCCTGAGACCTGCTGATTTCACTTATGAATTCTAGCAAACATTTAAAGAGCTAATACCAACCCTACTCAAACATTTTGAAAAATAGAGGAGGAGGGAATCCATCCAAACTCATTATATGAGGCCAGTATTACCCTGATACCAAAAAGAGACATAGACACAACAATAAAAGAAAACTACAGGCCAATATCTCTGCTGAATAGTGATGCAAAAATATTCATCAAAATACTAACAAGTCAGATTTAACAATTCAGTTAAAAGATTATTCATCACGAACAAGTGGGATTTATCTTTGGGATGCAAGGATGGTTCAACGTATGCAAAGCAATCAATGTGATAAATCATATCAACAGAATGAAGGACAAAAACCATATGATCATTTCAACTGATGCTGAAAAAGCATTTGATAAAGTTCAACATCCCTTCATGATTAAAAAAAAAAACCCTCAAAAAACTGGATATAGAAAAACCATACCTCAGTGGGGCACAGCGGCTCACACCTGTAATCCCAGCACTCTGGGAGGCCAGGCAGGTGGATTATGAGGTCAGGCATTCGAGACTAGCCTGGCCAACATAGTGAAACCTCGTCTCTACTAAAAATACAAAAAATTAGCCAAGCGTGGTGGTGAGCGCCTGTAATCCCAGCTACTCGGGAGGCTAGGGCAGGAGAATCACTTGAACCTGGGAGGTGAAGGTTGCGGTGAGCCAAGATCGTGCCATTGCACTTCAGCCTGGGTGACAGTGCAACACTCTGTCTCAAAAACAAACAAACAAAGAAAAAACATAACTCAACATAATAAAAGGCATATATGACAGATCCACAGCTAGTATCATACTGAATGGGGAAAAGCTGAAAGCCCTTCTTCCAAAATCTGGAATATGAAAAGGATGACCACTTTCACCACTGTTATTCAACATGGAGTACTGGAAGTCCTAGCTAGAGCAATTAGACAGGTGAAAGAAATAAAGGGAATCCAAAATGGAAAGGAAGAAGTCAAATTATCCTTTTTTTGCAGATGATACGATCTTATATTTGGAAAAACTTAGACTTCATAAAAAACTATTTGAACTGATAAACAAATTAAATAACGTTTCAAGATACAAAACCGACATAAAAAATCAGTAGCATTTCTATATGTCAACAGTGAATAAACTGGAAAAGAAATTTTAAAAGTAATTCCATTTACAATAGCCATACATAAAATTAAATACCTAGGAATTAACTACAGAAGCAAAAGATCACTATAATGAAAACCATGACATACTGATGAAGGAAATTGAAGTGGACATCAAAAATTGGAAAGATATTCCTTGTTCAGGGATTGGAAGAATCAATATTGTTAAAATGGCCATACTACCCAAAGCAATCTACAGATTCAATGCAATCCCTATTAAAATACCAATGACAATCTTCACAGAAATAGAAAAAAAAATCCTAAAATTTATAATATATGGACTTCAAAAGGCCCAGAATAGCCAAAGCTATCCTAAGCAAAAAAAAAGATCAAAACTAGAGGAACCATATTACCTGACTTCAAATTATACTACAGAGCTATAGTGACCAAAACAGCATGGTACTGGCATAAAAAAGAAACACATAGACAGGTGGAACAGAACAGGGAAACCAGAAACAAATCCACACACCTACAGTGAACTCATTTTTGACAAAGGTGCCAGGAACATACATTGGGAAAAAAAAATATCTTCAATAAATGGTGCTGGGAAAACTGGATATCCACACGCAGAAGAATGAAACTAGACTACCATCTCTCACCATATAAAAAATCAAATCAAAATGAATTAAAGACTTTAAGACCTCAAACTATGAAACTGCTACAAAGAGACATTGGGGGAAAATCTCCAGAACATTGTTCTGGGCAAAAATTTATTGAGTAATACCCCACAAGCACAGGCAACCAAAGAAAAAATGGACAAATAGGATTACATCAAGTTAAAAAGATTCTGCACAGCAAAGGAAACAATCAACCAAGTTAAGAGACAACCCACAGAAAGAATGGGGAAAAATATTTGCAAACTACCCATCTGGCAAGGGATTAATAATCAGAATATATAAGGAGTTCACCTCCATAGGAGAAAAATCTAATAATCCTGTCAAAAAATGGGCAAAAGATTTGAATAGACATTTCTCAAAAGAAGACATACAAATGTCAAAACAGGCACATGAATTAGTGCCCAACATCACTGATCATCAGAGAAATGCAAATTGAAACTACAATGAGAAATCACCTCACTACAGTTAAAATGGCTTTTATCCAAAAGACAGGCAATGCTGGCGAGGAGGTGGGGTAAAGGGAAACCCTCATACATGGTTGGTAGGAACGTAAATTAGAACAACCACTATGGAGAACAGTTTGGAGATTCCTCAGAAAACTAAAAATTGAGCTACCATATGATCCAGCAATTCCACTGCTGAATATACACCCAAAAGAAAGGAAATCAAAATATCAAAGAGATTATCTGCACTCCCATGTTTGTTGCAGCACTGTTTGCAATAGTCGAAAATGTGGTACATATACACAACAGAATACTATTCAGCCATAAAAACAATGAGACCCTGTCATTTGCAACAACATAGATGAAACTGGAGATCATTATGTTAAGTGAAATAAGCCAGGCACAGAAAGATAAACATCACATGTTCTCACTTATTTGTGGGATCTGAAAATCAAAGCAATTGAACGCATGGAGATAGAAAGTAGAAGGACGGTTACCAGAGGCCGGGAAGAAGAGTATGGTGGCAGAGGGTGGGGTGGGTAGGAGGTGGGAATGGTTAATAAGTAAACACACACACACACACACACACAAAATTAGAAAGAATAAATAAGACTTACTATTGGATAGTACAACAGGGTGACTATACTCAATAATAATTTACTCGTACATTTAAAAATAACTATGAGTATAATTGGATTGTTTGTAACATAAAGGATAAATGCGTAAGGGGGATGGATACCACATTCTCCATAATGTGAGTATTATGCATTGCCTGCCTGTATCAAAACATCTCATGTAACCCATAAATATATACACCTACTATGTACCCACAAAAATTAAAAATTAAAAAAAAATGTTAAGCAGCCATGGGTGATTACTTCTCTTTTTTTTTCCATATTAAAATCTTGCTCATGCCTATATCCCCAACACTTTGGAAGACTGACGTGGGAGGATCACTTCATATAGGAGTTTGAGACTCGCCTGGGAAATATGGTGAGAGGCCCTGTCTCTACAAAAAGAATGGGAAAAAAAATAGCCATGCATGTTGGCATGTGCCTATAGTCCCAGCTACTGGGAGTGGACAGGGGGAGGGAGGGTTACTGAGGCTGGAGGATCACTTAAGTCCAGGAAGTTGAGGCTGCAGTGAGCCCTGATGGCACCACTACACTCCAGCCTGGGCAACAGAGCAGAGACCCTGTCTCAATCAATTAATCAGTCAGTCAATAAAATCTTAAAATGACTTCCCTATAAATGAGTGCAAACTCTGACTTAATGCTTACACTTATGTTTTGGCAGGGAACTTCCTACTTTAAGTTTTAATGGCCTTCCTCCCTAATTTCTTGCTTTAATTACAAATGTTCAATTGCACCACCATTTACCTCTGCAGTTCTGTCAGTAAATACATAAATTATTTTGTTTCAGTATGTAAAGTATAAATTAAATTATAATCTATGCCAATTTATTTCCTTTGTATAAGGAAAAGGAAGGTCAACTTCTACTATCACAAGTGCCAAAATGGCTATCTCCACGACAATGTTCTGCATATAGGTGATCTCACTTTCATATTAAAAGATAATCAAAACATTCATCATTCCATTCTCTTCAGCTAACCCCCACTCTGGCAACCCCTCACGTGCTCATCATTAACACTGTCATCCCCCACCTGTTTGTCCTCTAAACTTTTAATTTGAGACAGTTTTTTCTCTACCTTCTACCCTCCCAGCTCTCACTCATTTATTCCCACTACACTTCCTTTTCAGCCTCAAGGATGCCTACCCCTCCTACTGCTTCTTCTTATCGTCCTTCTTCTGCCTTCACTTCCTTCCCTTTCCACCTGATACTTTTGCTCAGTCCACAAACAAATGTAGCTTGGAAGTGCAGGGTTAACATCCCCAGAGGTAATCATTAATAAATGGGAAACAGAAGCCAGTCAATAATTGCTTCTACTTCTTATCTTTAATATGGACAATTCTAGGAAGTATTATATATTATTCTCAGGTGATCCCAGTGAAATTGAGCTCTTGATGCTCTAACACCTACCTCAAAAACAGAACCTTAATAATGACTTACTCTCTTCCTGATCCCTCACTTATGCTACCTGCAAGAACATCCCAAATAAGCTATCTGCACACAAGTCCTATCTCAGGCTCTGCTTTCAGTAAAATCCCAGTTAACACATGAGAATTTATGCTGAATGTATACTTATATATAATATAAAACCCCAGGCTAGGGAAACAAAATGAAATATGGGACTTCCAAGTATATTCCTCTTAACTATTCATTATCCCAAAGGTCAACAGATCTCCTGTGTCTGCATTCTTTTTTAAAGTGCATAAACTTGTCAGCCAACATTCATCCTTACTGAGCAAGAAAAAGCAGCTAAACACTAGCTCTGAGTGACTGCAAATTTGGCTAAAGTGGATACTGTATGCAAATACAGTGCTTCATTGCGACCCTTAGCTGTTTGGGAGAAGAAACCTTCCCTCAAAATGCACCTGCCATATTCAGTAGAACCTGCCAAGTTATAGTCTGCAACTTTCAGAGATGTTGTGGACTTCTGAACTGCTTTCTTCAGCTCCTTCTGACTCCAGATCCCTGAGCCTGTAAGCTAAGCTGTGAGCTACTAACTCAGCTTCAAAATCACTACATTAGTCTGGAAGAGTTAATGCACCTCAAAGTACTTAATTTTCTCCTAGGGAGTCATGTGCTTGCTAGTAGGAAATGGATGACTAAGCAATCATTATCAACCTCATGGGATAATTCTAGCCCAGGGAAGCAAATAAGCCACAGAAGAACAACATGCACCACACAAAGCTTCCTCACTGTGAAATAAGAGAGGCAAGCAGCACTTTATATAATACTGGAAGATAAATTATGACATAAGTGTTCACTCTGTTATTAGTGTCATATGTTTTCCTGAACATGGTAAGATTTCTTTTCTGGATTTCATGGTAAATACTTGACAGTTATAAGTCTTTAATAGATTCCACTACAGTTACTTGTCTTGGCATACCGTTATATTTGTGTTTCTATGCATTAGCAAAAATATGGTATCTGCCAAACTATAATTGCAAACACTTTGAGTCAAAACAATGCTTCCAGGTTAATTAAAATATAAATCAATACATCAATCAACATACATTTATTGAATATACTCTGTAAAGAAGGTGCAATCCTGAGCATAATAAAGTGTAGAAATGAATGTAAGACACCATTCCTGTCCTCACAGGTCTCAGAAAACTACCATTTTATTACTTTTAGCATTAGATACGTTTACAATAAAGAATTATGTTAATAGAGCCTAGGAGTTCCAATTGCTAGTTGAGAATCACCTCAAGAAAAATAGAAAATTTGTAGAAATAATTATTAAATTTTAAAAATCTAAGCCTTTTAGACTTTTCAAAATAAAAATTTAAGTATGCTGCCTTCACAGTGAATTTAATGTGATAAGATTTTCATTCAAATGACATTATTTCTATTTAATGTTTTAATACAGTTATGCATGAAATCAAATTCCAACTTCTTAAAAAATGTGGAGTTTTTTTGGATCATTTGATCATTTCCTATAAACCATGTATTCCGGTCTCTATATTACTGAGAGTGATGTTAGATTCTTGGTCTACTGTTGAAGATACCAAACACATGCACCATTTGAATGTGTTCTTGAACTAAGTCCTAAAACAAAGTGAAGCAGTGTGTTTTTGTAGAGCTCAGGTCTAGGTGCTGCCAGGTGGGGTAGTGCCACTCCTCCAGAAGGCCCTGGTCCTTGTGAGGCCCAACAGATGTCATATTCTTTGTTTATATTCAATTCGGCATTGCCCTTCCGGCTGGGGGACACCCACCAAATGGAGATAACTCTAAAAACAGAAATGCAGAAGAAATAGAAATTAAGAGACATAAGTCCACAGTTTCAGACCTAAGGTTTATTCCATTGTAATCTTCTCTAAAAAGTACAAAATTTAGGTTTTTCAAGTTGGGAAATGTTTGCATCAATGAACTTCACAATATCCAACATCAACTTTAGCCTTCCATTCAGGCAGAAGAAAAAGAATACAATTCCTTATTCTAATAACAATCTCTTTAGTTGTACACACCTGAAGGCTATAGGCCTGCCACCCTTCGCTTTATCTGGCTAAAGAGGTTACCACAAATAAGGCTCTTTCTACAATTCTGGCTCAAAAACTGTGACACTTCATTTAGAATCGCTGAGTGAGATCTCCATACTGCAGGTTACAGGTGTTTAAAGAATGATGTGGAGTTGGTGATGTGAGCCACTTATAGCGTATTCATGATCGTGACTTTCCATAAAGATATATTTTTTTTGAGAGGAGTCTCACTCCATCGCCCCCATAAAGATACTTTGTAGGCTCCAAATATTCTGACTTTTTTCGCCCGAGTTAGAAATAAGATATGAAACTGTGTAGGGTCAAGGGGAGGTCAGCGTATTGTAAATAATACAAAGAGATATTTGAGGTTTAGGGGATTAAAAAAGAAAAGGAACATTTTCTGTCAACCATGAGGGCTGAGGGAAGATGAGGAGTGAGGAAAGATGAGGTGGATCCAATTTAGAATCAGTCTATTTTCAAGTTTGAATGAAATAGGGCACAAAATGGGCTCTTTAGCAAGGAGATTCTTTGGAGAGTTGAAAGAATAAGTTGCAGGGTTCCACGAACCCACTGAAATTGCATCCACAACTTTGTGTGTATGAAGAAGTATGCACTTTTCTACAAAGGGGATCCATGCATTTTGTGAGATTTCCTAAGGTTCTATGAACCCCAAAAGTAAAATGAAAAAAAAAAAAAAACAACCATACAAAGAAATAAAAACCCATTGTGTTAGCAAAAATGTGCTTGCTTTTGCAAGAGAATTAAAGTTGACTTTTCCTTAATGCTCAAAATGGAACAGCCCTCACTGCTAGCATCAGGACACTGCTGCCTGACCACAGATCCTTAAACTTTGTAGTATTTCCTTTTTGTTTGATTCATAATGGAAGAGAATTAACACTACATTATTTAAGGCCTTTTGAGGTAAAATAAAACATTGGGCTGTTGCAAAATTAAAATTGGAGATTCTAGCATTTGATTTTTTCTACTATGTTAAGTAAATTCCTTCAGGGGAGTTGGTTTCCAAGTCCACTGATTTCCCCTGCACCTGACAACAGAGTGTTCAGGACATGCTTTGACAACCCATCCCTGCCTTCTCCTAGAAGAGCCTGGTGATTTGACGGCCATTTCCTGTACTTTCTGGTCACCTGATTTTATAATTTATTGAAACAAGTTCAATAGTTAAATAAAGTTAATTGATGTTTCTCATTCTAGAATAAGAATTGTGAGATAAAATGCTCTTTGAGATCATGGGAATTCACTCAGACTTGTACTTTTTATAACCTGAGAGAACATTTCTTTAAAAAGTGTTCTCAGTGGTGTCAAAACATAAATAGGACATATATAAAATAGTATAAGAAATTAAATACAGATAATAGAATTCTTAGGAGAAAATGCTAGGAAAAATCCTGTCTTAAGGAATTGGTCAAAATTACTAATCTCCATGGTTTTAACCAATGCCATCCTTTTCACCTGAAAAGGCATTCTGGTGTCCTCTTGCTGGTGAGAAAATCTTTGGATGTTGAGTTTAACCTTGAGCAAAATTGTGACATTCAACTCAGTGGATCAGGAACTAGTATTTGATGTCCATAAAGCCTGACCCTGATGTTCATTTTGTCAACAATATAGCAGGTAGCTGAGACCCTTTGTGAGAGTTGTTTTGAGTTCCCTTTCATTGTAAGATTCTGAGAGCTCTTCATCACCGATAAGTTACTCGTCCTCAAAATAGAAGTGCAAAAGAAATCAAGTGAAATGCTGAAATGTGCATATTTGTGAGTAATAAAATACTTTCTGTGTCACTTACGCACTTACATAATTCCTATTGAAATGTCACCTAAGAGTTTTATTTATCTCTCCATACATTAGCCTTATTATATCAAGAGTAAATCAAAGCACAAAACGCTATGTGAATAGCTCTGAGATTGCAATCCTTAATTTCTGAGCTTCAGCCCCAATTTAAATAGCACCCTTTACCCAAAGTTTTCACATGATTTCCAAACATTTGGATTTAAATTGAACTTCCTTTTATTTCTTACAACAGAGGTCCTCAAAGTGTGGCACCCAGACAAGCAGCAGCAGCAGCGGCATCACCTGGAGCTTGTTAGAAATGCAAATTCTGGGCCAGGTGCTGTGGCTCATGCCTGTAATCCCAGCACTTTGGGAGACCAGCGTGGCCAACATGGCAAAACAACATCTCTACTAAAAATACAAAAAATTAGCCAGGCATGGTGGTGTGCGCCTGCAGGCCCAGTTACCAGGGAGGCTGAGGCATGAGAACCACTTGAACCCAGGAGGCGGAGGCTGCAGTGAGCTGAGATTGTGCCACTGAACTCAGCTCACAGTGTTTGGAGACTCTGTCTCAAAAACAAATAAAAAACAACCCCCCAACCAAAAAAAAAAAAAAAAAAAAAGGAAAGAAATGCAATTCTGTAGCCCCTCCCCTGTTCCTACTGGATCAGAAATTCTAGCGATAAATAGCACCTTTATACAGTCTGTTCTAACAAGCCCTACTAGTGATGCTGATGCTCACACCAATTCGAGAGCCACTGATCTATGAGAATAGATCTACAGAAAACTTAAATGACTGAATATTCAATAGTTTGAGGTAGGAATAAAACCATGACCTTTTCATTTCTGTTCACTGTTTTTACTGCTAGGTTAGTTTTTTTCCATGCTGTTCCTTTTCAGATGGACCAAGGGTTATGACTTGCATTAAAAACAATAGTTCACATTTGGATCACAGACATTCCTTTCTAGAAAAATAAGGGCAAAGTGGGCGCCATGTTTATTTAACTCAGAGAAAAGTGTTCAAATTGGTAAGTGCAATGAAGAGCTCCTAACACTGGAAGTGGTGGAAAGACTGCTATTAAGTCCCAGTCAGGTAGTAATTGGGTACATAGATTAGATCCTGAATTAAGGAGACCGAGTATCTTCTCAGTCTGGTTCAATCTAAGGCACCTGTTAAGATCAGGCCTAAGTGAGGAAATGTCAGCTCATCTCTAGTAATCAAAATTGGGGGAAGTGGGGGTGGTTATGTCATATTTATAAGTAGTCATGATACTCAAAATTCTGAAAACACTTACCTGTTTGGGTAATGGGTCCAGAAGACTACAGTCATATTTATAAAGTATTAAAATAATACACATCTGAACCTCTAACAGAGCAAACCACCTGGAAGAAACGAATAAAATTGTTACTTGATTGTGAAAGATGTATAAATATCTGCCAACAGAGAATATCTAGAAAGCATACATATTTCAGAGTAAACATGCTCTTCTTTACAATATACTCTTTTCCTATTTAAAGGACAGAGTAAGAACTTAACTCTTTCTTAATACCACCTACTCCATAGGGTAGCGGGATGATTAAATTGCTTTAAAATGTATATAAAGTGCTGAGCCAGTGGGAGCTCTCAATAAATGACAGTCCCAAGTCTCTCTCTTTAGGACTGTGCTTTCCAGTATCATAGCCATTAGATACAAGTGGCTATTTCAATTTAAATACATTTAATAAATAAGTTTAAGATTAAGCAAAATGGAAAATTTCAGTTCCTCGGTTGCACTGGCCATATTTCAAGTGCTCAAAAGCTGCATGTGGTTACAGGCTACTATACTGGACAGTGTATATTTAAGATATTTCCATGATCACAGAAGGCTCTATTGGACAGTCCTACCTAAGTCTAGATCCTGTTGCCCACTGGAAATTACTGCCTGAATGTTCTACAGGAACATCAAATTCCCCAGGACCTCTAAATCCACTTTTCCTTTTGCACTCCTTGTCTAAGAGTGCCCAAGCATTTTGATCACACACTCTTGATAATAAAATATTTCAGCATGCCCTACAATATATTGATACTCATTTATTTTAAATTATGCACATATACTACACTGTTTAGAGACTATTTTCTAAGACACATACAAATAGAAACTAAAAAACTGAAAAAAGTATAAATAGAATTCTGTTATTTTTCCCTGTGTCCCATTGGGTTGTTTTGAACTCTCTGCAGGATAGGGAAACCTTTTAGGAAGCATAGCCCTTAATGAATACAATTAGTCCAACGGGACAGAACATTGTCATAGACTAAATCCTCTCCATCACCCTCCATATCCAATTAGGCACCAAGTCCTTTTTTTATGGTTCTCCTAAATAGCTCTTAATTCTCCTCCTTAACCCCTTATCTCCAGTCCCTCCATGACTCCCTCAGTGTAGTTCTTCATCATTTATTTCCTGGATTACTGAATCAATTTACCTTCCACATGGCTTCCAGTTTCACTTCCCTCTACTCTGTCCTTTACCCTACCACTGGAGTAAACTTTCTAAAACACATATCTTCACTATCTCCTCATTACACACACACGCAGACACAGACACACACACACACACACACACACGCAATCTTTCAAACACCACAGCAGAATACAGCCAGCCCTTGAAGATCTGCCCCTTACCTATCTCTGCAGTCTCCTCTCCCCCAGAGCTCCCCCTTGACACCATGTGGCTCTAGCCACGTTATATTACTTGACATTCTCTGAATGATGATGCTCTGTGCCACAAGCCTTTCCCTTTCTGAGGCTCAATCTCCTCTGGAAGCATTTCCTGATAACTGTCCTCCAGGCTGTAGTGCCCTTCCTCTCCACCACATGGTTCCCTGGTCACATCTTAGCCACAGCTGCTACTGCACCACATTGTGATTGCTTGTTAGCCAGGGCTCTCCCAGAGGAGGATTTGTATTATGAGGCCTTAGCACAGTGCACAGCACACTATTAGTACCTAATAATGTTAACTGAATAAATGAATAGTGATGGAAAGTGATGCCTTCCATAGAGAAGATTCAATTTCCTGCCCTTTCCACCTGTCTCTGTATTTCTGTGGCACTTTACATATCCCTTAACTAATGCCTTTATCCTACAATCCTACTATATCTTACTATATTACAGCTAGAATTTGCATGTCTGTCTTCCCTTATAGACTACAGCCTTCACAAAAAGCAGGAACTATGTCTTATCTTTAAATCATCAATGTTTGTTGATTGAATGAGTGAATGTATACATATCAATGATCTCATATTCATATCAAATAATTAGATTTTTCTGCACTACTGTTCTTGAAACATCTTGACTGTATTTTATTTCAAATGAAATCTGGAGCACTCCAGGTGTGGCTATAATCCATCTGAATATCACATCAATTATTCAGTAATATTTATGATGCAAATTTAACCCTACTTACTTGCAAATGCTAAAGATAATTTATTCTAAAAGGGTATCCATGTCTATGAAATAGGACATGGCTAATATTTACTGATTTGGATCAAAGTCAGCAATGTTTCTAAGAAAAAACAACTTTGCTAACTCACATAAAGGTTCAGAATGTCTCACAACTAAGGTTTTGTCAAACTTTTCACAAATTGGAATTTCCATTCCTGGCCATGATAAAGTAACAAAAGTTGGTGTTATCTTCCTGCCTTAAATAACTCAAAAACGGGGCAAACTCCAGTGTAGGACAAAGATCTCCAGAGGAAGTAAAGAATGAGACGAAACCCATGATTGCTTCGGTTTCCTGCTTCTGGCAGTCTTCAGGCCACAGTGCAAGGACAGAAAAAACTCACAGGTCTGAGAGTATTATTAATTCAGCAGACAGAGATCCAAGTTCAGGCAAGCTAAAGAGACTAAAATTTGTAGAGAAGAGTATCAGAAAAGAAGGAGTTTCACAGAAAGAGAGCGCACAAGAGTATTCCAGGGATCTAGATAGGAGTCTACTTGAGTATTTGGCAGAGTACTGATCTCTGCATGTGTGAGAGAAAACTACTGAGACGGAAAAAGAACCACAAAAGGGAAATCAAAGCACAAGAAGCTGAATAAGGCCAAGAGCTCACACAAGACATGGAGGCTGTGTTCACACAAGAAAAAGTCTCACCATTGTACAGCACATGGACCATTAGCTAGAGCTCTTAAATGGGTATTGCCTTAGTAGTGGGATTAGATTATTTTACATTAAATGGCGCTCTGGATTTACCTTACTGAAGCTTAAAAACAAGTTTTGCAAAGTTGTTTTTCTAAGCAACTAACTGCATGTCATAATGAGGTCTAAACTAAAAGAATACAACACAACCCAGTATCCATGGCACTTAACATTTACGTCTTGCCATCTATTCAAAAGTTAACAGGCTTAGAAAAAACAAAACAGAAAAATGACCTCAATCCAAGAGAAAGCCCATTGAAAAAATATAGGCCCAGAAATGACAGATATTAAAAATAGTTATTATACTCCACAGGTTCATAAAGGTAGAAAAGAACAGCATGATGAGGAGAGAAAGATAAGATATTTTAAAAATAATTGTGCTTCTAGCAATGAAAAATACAATATCTTAAATGAAAAATAAACTGGATGGGATTAACAGATGGTAAAATGCTGCCAAAGAAAAGATAATGGAATTTAATTAACATAACAAAGAAAAATATCTAAAATGAAGTACACAGAATAAAAGCCTATAAAAATAAATAGGTTATTAACTTATAAAATAACGAAGTCTAACATACATGTTATTAGAGATATAGATGACCAAGCAGGGAAAATATTTTGAGAAGTAATAGTGAAACATTTTCAAATTTTTTTGAAAACTATAATTTACAGATCAAGACCCCCAAGCAGAAGAAATATAAAGAAAATCATGCCGACTGGGTGCAGTGGTTCATGCCTGTAATCTCAGCACTTTGGAAGGCTGAGGCAGGTAGATGACCTGAGGCCAGGAGTTTGAGACCAGCTTGGCCAACATAGCCAAACCTCGTCTCTAATAAAAATACAAAAATATTAGCTGGGCACGGTGGTGTGTGCCTGTAATCCCAGCTACTTGGGAGGCTGAGGCAAGAGAATAGCTTGAACCAGGGAGGAGGAGGTTGCACGGAGCCAAGATTGTGCCACTACACTCCAGCCTGGGCAACAGAGCAGAACTCTGTCTTTAAAAAAAAAAAAAAGCAAGGCACAGTGGCTCACACTTGTAATCCCAGTATTTTGGGAGGCCGAGGAGGGCAGATCATGAAGTCAGGAGTTCAAGACCAGCCTGGCCAAGATGGTGAAATCCCATCTCTACTAAAAATACAAAAATTAGCCAGGTGTGGTGGTGGGTGCCTGTAATCCCAGCTACTGCGGAGGCTGAGGCAGAGAATTGCTTGAACTCCGGAGGCAGAGTTTGCAATGAGCTGAGATCGCACCACTGCATTCCAGCCTGGGAGACAGCAAGACTCCATCTCAAAAAAAAAAAAAAAAAAAAAGAAAAAAAGAAAAAGAAAATCATGCTAATGTGAATCATAATCAAATTGCAATTAATAAATAAACCCAGGGATTAAAAAAATTAAGTAGCCAGAAAACAAAGACACCATAAAGAACAACAAACATTAAAAGTTAACATAGACTTTTCACTGGAAACAATGCAAGCCAAAGGACTTACAATGTGTTTAAAGAATAGAAAGAAAAATAATAAGCAGTCAAGGTATAAAGAAAGGGAGCTAATACTGTTTGTATTCATCTGTTCTCACACTGTGAAAAGAACTTATCTAAGACTTGGGAATTTATGAAAAAAAAAGAGGTTTAATTGACTCACAGTTCTGCAGGCTTAACAGGAAGCATGACTGGGAAGCCTCAGGAAACTTGCAATCATGGCAGAAGGTGAAGGGGAAGCAAGCTCCTTCTTCACATGGTGGCCGGAGAGAGAAAGCGAGCAAAGGGGGAAGTGCCACACACTTTTACACCATCATATCTCGTGAGAACTCATTCACTATCACGAACATCAAGGGGGAAGTTCACCCCCATGATTCAATCACCTCCTACCAGGCCCCTCCTCCTCCAAATGTGGAGATTATAATTCAACATGAGATTTGGGTGGGGACACAGAGGCAAACTATATCACTGTTCTTTCTAATAATGCACTAATTTTACCATGAGAGAGATCAGCCTAAGTAATCTGGGGGTAAATATTTAATTTTCTCCGTAAGGATTTAGATTATAGCATGCATTAGGAAAAAAGGTGATTGTCGGCCGGGCACGGTGGCTCATGCCTATAATCCCAGCACTTTGGGAGGCCGAGGTGGGTGGATTACTAGGTCATGAGATTGAGACCAGCCTGACCAACATGGTGAAACCCCGTCTCTACTAAAAATAGAAAAATTAGCTGGGCGTGGTGGCACGCACCTGTAATCCCAGCTACTCAGGAGGCTGAGGCAGGAGAATTGCTTGAACCTGGGAAGCAGGGGGTGCAGTGAGCCGAGATCGCGCCACTGCGCTCCAACCTGGTGACAGAGCAAGACTCCATCTCAAAAAAAAAAAAAAAAAAAAGGTGATGGTCTTTGGGAATTGTGTAAAAGAGAGAAAGAGACTGATGTTGAAATGACAATCAACCATTCATTCAGTAGAAAATTTAAAAGAATTAATATTTGGGCAGGTCTTAAGGAACATAGTGTGCCTGTGCCCGCAATGAACAGTTTTGAGGAACTCAAGTCCCAAGGACAACCATGGACAGTCCTGCTAAAGCCCCTCATGTTACTCTATACTCAGACTGAGAAATGACCTAGGGAGGAAGGGTGGTGATATATCTTGGAGAAAAATCAGCTTCTCAGAGGAGGGATGAGACTAAAAGGAGGGCAGCTGCTCTGTGACTATTTTGCAAAAGAGACAAACACATTGCCATGTAAAGGCATATAAGGTTAGGAAAAAGGAACCTTCTGTGAAGTGCTCAATTTAAGTACTTTTCTCTAGGACTATAGGAAAATAAACATTTTATGTACAATTTTAATATTTCCCTACCTATGCTGTAATTTGCTTACCCTAAAAATTCCATAAGAACTGACACATTTACACTATCTTGTGTGATAGTGCAGTGGAAAGTAAAGAGGTGATATAATGGCAGGAAGCATGAGTAGCCTCACTTTCATCCCTCTGCTGGAGATGATCTGAAAAAAGCAGCATCTCATTTTCAGTGCTGTGGGTGGTAGCACGTGGAGGAGCTGGGAGCTCAGCAAAGACTGCAGAACACCAAGGGTCAAATTTAAATGGATAACTAGGTTGTGAATGTAACACACCTGTCTTTTCTCTCTTCTCCTTTGAAAAAAAGTGACTTTTATGGGAACAGTAAAGCGACACTTAGATTATACACTAAGAGTTCTAACAATAAAATAAGACCCCCATTCATTCATTCATTCATTCGATGTTTATTGTGTCCTTATGTGCTTTATATACTTCTAAGCACTGAAGTCACCCCAGTAAACAAAAACAATATTCATGTTCTCATAAAGCTTAAATTCTAGTAGAATGCATTCTAGAATAATAAATAAGAACAGGAAAGAAAGTTGATGGAGGTGTGGGCTAAAATATTTTAGAGAAGGAAGGTCTCTCTGATGAGGTGACATTTTATCAGACCCTAGAATAAAATAAGAGGGTGAGCCATAAAAGGTGCAAAAATCCAGAGTTAGAAGAATGAGAAATGATGAGAAGGCTAGTATTGAGATGGGAAGCTACTGGACAGTTTTGAGAAGTATGACAAGCTCTGAAAGGATCCTTCAGTTGCTACACTGAGAATAAAATATAGGGTGAGATGAATGGAAGCGAAAAGAGTGATAAGAAAGCCACTACAATTTTCCAGACAATAGAAAGTGGTGACTTAGAACAGGATGGTAGAAATAGTTGTAAGCCATAGTTAGAGTCTGGATATATTCTGTAGGATGGACTGATGGTTTACATTATACATGTGAAGAATATAAAGGAATCAAGGATGACTCCAAAGTTTTCGACTTGAGGAAATGCAAGGATACAGCTGTTGTTTACCTCAGAAATGGGGAAGATTGAAGGAAGAGGAGGTTGAGGGAATTGTAATCTGGAGCTCAGTTTTGGACTTAAGTACAGCTCTCTATAGACCAGTGCCTTTTAGATATCCAAAGAAGATGTTGAATGGAAGCTAAGTAATGAGCCCCATGATTAGGAAGGATTCATTCAGGGTCAGAGATAGAAGATTTATAAATATAAGAGTCATCATTATTTAGACAATTATTTAAAGCCATGGGGCAGTATGAGATCACTTACAGAGTGAGTTAAATAAACTTGATTAAAAAAAATCTACGGAAGGAGCCCTGGGGTAATCCAAAATTTGGAAGTCAGGAAATTGAGGAAGATGAGCAAAGGAGATGGGAAAGAAGCAGGCCAAAAGGTAGAATAATAAAGGAAGGTGGTGTGTCTGCAACCCCATAAATAAAGTGTTTCATGGAAGGTGTGAGCCAGCCTATCAAATGGAAAGAAGGCAAAAAGCACCAATATGTGAAATTAGACATCAAGCTCCCACTTACATAAAGTAACCACTTCTTTTCAGTACTTAGCTCTCTTCCTACAAGTAAATTAAATGAGCTCACTTTTTCAAATAACTAAGTTGGCATTTCATGTTTGGTAGAATATTAGGAAGTAGTGACTTCCTAGCATTCAATATTTACTTGGCAGCTCTAGAAAAAATGCTGGCTAATTTTGTATTTGTGAATTATAGAACAGTTTTGTAGGTTCCTTGCTTTATTCAAATAAATCCTATCTCCTTATCATTGTTTTAAGCCCTTCTCTAATATAAGCTTGCTATTGACCAGTGCAGTGATTTCCAACTTCTCTGAGTTCAGCATCCTGGGATAAAAGGCCCCTGCCACTCTTCCTCTCAAGTCCCTAGAGGCACTGCAACAAGCGAAAAAGACAGTCAACAATTTGAGGGTGCAGTATGGGAGCTGCGCAAGTGAAGAAGGTACACTTGGCAGAGAGAAAATCCATTCCAAGGGACAGACTTAGAAGAAAAATAGTATCTAGGGACCTGCAAGTTGTTGACTCCATGCAGAAGGTGAGGTGATGAGAGATGAAGCTGGACAGTGCAGGAGGAGCCGGTTCAAGGGGGGTTTGAATGTGCCATGTGACAGTGTTGGGACTTTAATAACGAAAGTGCCCCTCAATAGATTGTGCTGATTGAACAATTATATCTAGGTGTGGAAACGGGGTTTCTCGAAGCTTTATTACAACATATAGGAGGTATTCAATAAATACTTCCTGGATCCCTAAAATAATTTGCTAAGCAAATGAGAAATGCAAACAAGATCAACGTTCATAAGTTAAGAGCACAATATTAAACATTTTAGAAATACCGTGCATATTTTGATTAGAAATAATTAGAAATAGTGGTTACCAAAGGCTGGGGTTAGGGGAGTTGGGGAAATGTTATTCAAGGGACACATTTCAGTTAGACAGGAGGAATAAGTTCAATATACTGATTGTATATCATGGTGGCTACAGTTAATAACAATATGAAAGTTGCTAAGAGAGTAGTTTGTTTGTTTGTTTGTTTTTTGAGACAGTCTCACTCTGTTGCCCAAGCTGGAGTGCAGTGGTACGATCTTGGCTCACTGCAACCTCCGCCTCCTGGGTTCAAGTGATTCTCCTCCCTCAGCCTCCTGAGTAGCTGGGATTACAGGCACCTGCCACCACAACTGGCTAACTTTTGTATTTTTAGTACAGATGGTGTTTCACCATGTTGGCCAGGCTGGTCTTGAACTCCTGACCTCAGGTGATCCACCCACCTTGGCCTCCCAAAGTGCTGGGATTATAGGCATGAGCCACTGTGTCCAGACTAAGAGAGTAGATTTTAAGTGTTCTCACCTCAAAAAAAAAAGTATGTGACATAATGCCTATCTTAAACAGCTTAACTTGGCCATTTTACAACATGTACATATTCAAAGCATCATATAGTACATCATAATTTTTACTTGTCATTTAAAGTAAATACATTTTAAAGGCCAGGCATGGTGGCTCATGCCTATAATCCCAGTGCTTTGGGAGGCTGAAGCAGGTGGATCACTTGAGCTCAGGAGTTGGAGACCAGTCTGGACAACATGGTGAAACCTCCTCTCCATTAAAAAATAAATAAAATAAACAAATAAATAAATAAATTTTTAAAAGTTTGAAGCTGAAAAATATGTTAGAAAAAATCTGTAGAGAAAGTAGAATGAGGAACAGAATGAATAATAAAAAATTTCAAAAAAAGATTAGAAATAATATTTACCAATGTATTAAAACAATTTTCTGTTACAATCTATAAGGCAGAATTTCCCTAATTAATTTTAGTCTATGTGATGTTCTTAAAAATGATAAAACTACATTTCCCTTAAAGATAAATACTCAGGCTTTTGGCCAATTCATAATGTACATTTTGAATTTGTGTGGCTTAATATTTTTCTTTTCTACTTTTTAGTGTTAGTTTAGTTATTAAATTAATAACTAGCTATTAAGATAGTATTGATATTTATATTACATTAAGATTTTGATATCTTAAAGGAAAAGTTGAATTTTCTTCAAATCCAAATATTTGGATATTCTAATAGAATTACCTCAATTCACCACTAAAGTTTTTTTCTTTACAGTGGCAAAAAAAAAAAAAAATACTGTTTTTTAAAGCCTTTACTATGTCACTGAATTTTGTTCAATGTGTAAAATACCAGAAACTGACATATACATACCTAGGACATAGAAAGCTTTTTATGTCAAAGAAAACGGGCCTTGTAAATTCGTATTTTTACAGAAGCTCTTCAGAAGCAAGCTAAGCTATGTTCAGGTAAGTAATGTTTTCTTAATACTTCTAATGTCAAAACAGTGAAAATAATGAGGCACATTGTTTATGACAGATTTATCTTTTACACTTACAAGAACAACATTACACATCTACTAATAAAGCTCATTAAAATAGAAACATGTTGAAAATTTTTTAAATACTTGGTACTTGCGTATTTTCTGCATTTGTATTTAAATACTTCATTAAGGAATGCTACACAGGCATTGAGAACACCAAGACCGACACAACACAATGCTAGCAATGCACATGGAGAGATGGAAGAGGTCACAATAATATATAGATGAAGGTAGAAACAAGGGAAACAAAATTTGGAGTCTGGAGAGCACTCTACAACCTGGCATGATTAACACTGACTTTATATGGAGGTGAAACTTGAGCTACACCATGAGGGCAAAAGAACCTTTAAATAAGTAGACTTGTTGAGTGAGAGCATTCCAGAGCCAGCAGAAAACATGGGCAAGGGGAGGAGTGGACACTCTGTAGTAAGGAACAGCAAGTAGACGCTCTGGGGAGGACATTCTCAGATGTTTAGAAAGGTAAGGCTGGTGTCAGATTATGGAGGGCCCGGAGTTCTAGGCTAATGAGTTTGGTCAGCAGGTAGTGGCACCAGAATCTCAATGAGAGAGTGACAATCAGATTATTATTTAAGGAAAACTCATCTGTATGTAGTGAGTAAGATGGATTGAAATAAGAGATAATACAGTCAGGGAGAAGGGTTAGGCAATGATAATAGTCATCTGATGCTGAGGTGAAGGAGACCTAGTTTGTTTTTTATTTTGTATTTTTTTTATTTTATTCTATTTTATTCTATTTTATTCTATTCTATTTTATTCTATTTTATTCTATTTTATTCTATTTTATTCTATTTTATTTTATTTTATTTTATTTTAAGACAGAGTCTCCCTCTGTTGCCCAGGCTGAAGTGCAGTGGTGTGATCTCGGCTCACTGCAATCTCTGCCTCAGGGGTTCAAGCTATTCTCTCCTGCCTCAGCCTCCCAAGTAGCTGGGATTATAGGCACCCACCATTACACCCAAGTAATTTTTTTGTATTTTTAGTAGAGACGAGGTTTCACCATATTGGTCAGGCTGGTCGCAAACTCCTAACCTCAAGTGATCCGCCCATCTCAACCTCCCAAAATGCTGGGATTACAGGTGTGAGCCACTGGACCTGGCTGAGGAGACCTAGTTTTAAAGGAGTGGAGAATGTACACAGAAGGCCAGAAGGAAGGAGGAGTAAAGGATAACTCCAAAAACCCAGGTGTCTAAGAGAGCAGTGATAGAAGGAGAGAGAGTACTGAAGGAATGCTAGTATTGGGGAAAATTGATGATTTTAATTTTAGATGTCTTGATTTTGAGACTGAATACCTCTGTCACTTTTAAAGAGAACACCTCTCTCTTTTTTCCTCCTAGAAGTCATTGTAGGTAATGCCAGCATGTGCTGGAAAGCTATCACTGTTGCCAGGAGCAAGAGGTCTGAAGTATATTCCTAGTTGCCACCAGCTGCAGCTTATGAAAATAGAATGATCTTGCCCCGGAATTCAGAGAAGGTAGCATACAGACATAGTGTCATAGGCATCATTCATTGAAGCGCAGCTATCAAGTTAAAGCGGAAGTATGGCAACCTCATCCCTCTGAGAAATCTTTTAGGAAAATAAAATCAATATGGTAGCAGGAGGCAAAATAATCTAGCACCTGTGATTCTCAAATTTTAGTGCATCAGAATCATCTGGAGGGCTTGTTAAAACAGATTGCTGGGCCCCACCCCCAAAGTTTCTGAGTCGGGAGATCTGGGACAGGGCCCAGGAACTTGCATTTATTACAAGTTTCCTGGTAATCTTAATACTGGTGGTCTGGGGACCACATTTTGAGAATACTGATCTAGAGGAACTTGTCAAGGAAAATGATGAAAAAAAAATATGTTAGAAGATGCAGTTTGCCAAACCTTTTAATTTTAGCACACAACATTAAAATTATAAAGAATATCTCCATTATACATGCAACATTATGTCTGGGGTACCAAACTTTTGATTGGGAATACTGGTGAAAGCATAATCTGGTAGAGTGGGAAGGTAGATGTTTTATATTAAATATAGAAAAAAAAGAACAAAATGGGAAGAGAAGAAAGGGATAAGGGTAAGCTGAATGAGAAGGAAAAGAAGAAAACATAAAAAAAAGAAGAAAATGGGAAATAAATAAAATAAAAAAAGGAGATGAGAAAGTGTAAACACATCAAACGAATCTGGTGTAGACGTTTATGTAACAATGTTGTGAGTTGCTTTTCATTTGCCATGGACCCCCAGGATGAAGGTCATGTAACCAGGGCATGCCCAGATAACCAACTGTGCAACCACAGAGGGATTAAGTGCTTGGACCAAGGAGCAGGGACTGAATTAAGCAGCATACACCACATTGCAGGATCCAGGATCCAATCAGATAGAGCACTGTCATCACCCATGGCAGGATCCAGTCAGATCATGCTTCCCGACATCACCTCATTGTTAAGATCCAATCAGATCACACATCATTACCCTATGCTTATGAAACCTACCCCAGCCTCCAGCTTGGGGAGACAGATTTGAGCATTTCCTCCTGTATCCTTGCCAGTTGACTTGAAATAAAAGTTTTCTTTTCTCAAAAGCCAGTGCCATGGTATTGGCCTCTATGCACATCTGACAGCAAACTCACTGATGCTCAGTCACAAGAGCAGATGGGACAGCAAGAATGAAGAACTGGAGAACCTCAGCCCTTCTCGATTTGACATACTGTTTTCTGTTTCATTAGGAAGATTATAAGTGGCTGTTACTAGGAGTGCATGCTCTGGAGCTATTGTTTTCCTGACTGCAGCCAGGATTGTTCTAATGGTGATCCTATGGTTACTCCTCCTAGAAATAAAATTTCCATACAAATGAGCTATGAGCTAATAGTTTGGCTATCTCTTTTTAAACATTCTGTATTGGTCCATTTTTATACTGCTATAAAGGACTGCCCAAGACTGGACAATCTATAAAGGAAAGAGGCTCAATTGACTCATAGTTCAGCATGGCTAGGGAAGCCTCAGGACACTTACAATCATGGTAGAAGGTGAAGGGGAAGGAAGGCACCTTCTTCACAAGGCGGCAGGAAGGAGAAGTGTGAGCAAAGGGGGAATAGTCCTTTATAAAAACCATCAGATCTCGTGAGAACTCACTCACTATCATGAGAACAGCATGGGGGAAACCACTCCTGTGATTCAATTATATCCACCTGGTCTCTCCCTTGACACATGGGGATTATGGGGATTATACAGATTACAATTCACAATGAGATTTGGGTGGGGACACAAAGCCTAACTATATCAGCTTCTTATTAAGGAAAAGGGGCAAAGGAATAGTACTGACTTAATTAAGTTTAAGTACTTGCAAAATAGAAATGATCTTATGGCTTATTTTATTTATAGCTCATTGAGATAAGATTGACCTCAAAATATAAATAAATAAGAATTATATATATATTTAAAGCACAAAATGAGATGATTATATATATATATATACACACACATACATATATGCACACATATATACATGTACCCATATATACACATACACACACATTGTGAAATGATTACCACAGTCAACCTAATTAACATATCCGTCACCTCATGTGGTTACCCTTTTGTGTGTTTGGGAGAAGTGGGGGGGTGAGAAAATTTAAGATCTGTTCTCTTAGCAACTGTCAATTGTACAATACATTATTATTAATTATAGTGACCATACTGTACATTAGGTCTCCAGAACTTATTAATCTTGTAACTGAAAGCTTGTACTCTCTGCCTGATATCTCCAATCCCCCAACCCCTGGTAACCACCATTCTACTCACTGTTTCAATGAGTTCAAATTTTTAGATTACACATATAGATGACTTTATGTAGGATTTGTCTTTCTGTGTGTAGCTGATTTCACTTAGTATAATGTCTTCCAGGTTGACTCAAGTTGTTGCAAATGGCAAGATTTCCTTTTGTAAGGCTGAAAAATATTCCATATATATATATATAACTTTTTTATCCATTTATCAATCAACACTTTGGTTGTTTTAATATTTTGGCTATTGTGATTAATGCTGCAATGAGCCTAGGAGGGCAAATACTTCTTTTGAGATACTGATTTTGTTTCCTTTGGATATATATCCAGAAGTGGAATTGCTGGATCATATGGCAATTTTTTTTAAATGCTTGAAGAACTGCCATACCGTTTTCCATAGCAGCTGTTCCATTTTACATTCCCACCAATAATGCACAAAGGTTCCAATTTCTCCACATCCTCACCAACACTTGTTATTTTCTTTGTTTACGGTAGTCATTCTAATGGATATGCCAACTCAAAAATATATAGAGATGAATCTCTAAGCAAGAGGTTTTGTTTGGAATATATAAGGAATAGAACTGCAATTCAGGGCACACACACAGACTAGGGTGGCCTCTGTTATGCTCACAGAACAAAGAAATGGTTAAGGTTTACTGGGGCAAGGGAAGGTTAAACAAATTGTTTTGAGAGAAAGTTCACTGGTGCTGGCAGCATCTTACAAGAGCTAGTGAGCTCTGATAGGTGAGTTTCAGCAGTTGCCAGGTGGGACTTGCAGTCTTGAAATTATGGTTAGGTCCATGCAGATCTGGATTGAGCTTATAAGACATTTTTTTTTAAAAAAAAAACAGGTGTATGTAACCTTAGTGTTTTTCTCATGGCTTCTTGACTCATTTTAGTTGGGTATGACATAAATGACTTCATTTTGTATAATCAACTTTCACAGGTATAAGGTGGTATTTCAATGGAGTTTTGATTTGCATTTCCCTAATGATTAGTGATGTTGAGCATCTTTTCATGTGCTTACTGTCCATTTGTGTATGTTCTCTGGAGAAATGTCTATTTAAGTTCTTTGCTCATTTCTGAATTGGGTTATTTTGTTGTTGAGTTTTAGAAGTTCTCTATGCATAATGGAAACTAATACCCTTATCAGATATGTAATTTGCAAATATTTTATCCCATTCTGTGTGTTGCCTTTTTGTTTTGTTGATACTGTCTTTTGATGCACAAAATTTTTAAATTTTCATAAAGTCCAATTTTGTCTATTTTTCATTTGTTGTTTGTGCCTTTGGTGTCATATCCAAAAATTAATGCCAAATCCAATGTCATAAAGCTTGTGCTCTGTTTTTCTTCTAAGATTTTTATAGTTTTAAGTATTTATTTTATTTTGAGTTAATTTTGGTGTATGGTATTAGGTTATAAGAGTCCAACTTCATTCTTTTGCATGTAAATATTTAGTTGTCCCAGCGCCATTCATTGAAAAGACTGCTCCTTTCCCATGGAATGGTCTTAGTATCTTGGTCAAAAATCATTTGACCACATATTCCAGGGTCTATTTCTGGGCTCTCTATTCTATTGTATTGGTCTACATGTCTATCTTTATGTCAACAGCACACTGTTTTAATTACTGCAGCTTTGTAGTAAGTTTTGCAATCAGAAAATGAGAGTCCTCCATTTTGTTCTTCTCTTTCAAGATTGTTTTGGCTACTTGGGGTCCTTGAAATTTTATATAAATTTCAGAATAGGCTTTTCTATTTCTGCCAAAAAAAAAATAACATCATTGCGATTACATTGAATCTGCAGACTTCTTTGGGTAGCACTGGCATCTTTAACATTATTAGTCTTCCAATCCAGAAACATGGGATATGTATCTATTTATCTATGTCCTTAATTTCTATCAGCAATGTTTTATAGTTTTCAGTGTATAACTCTTTCACCTTCTTGGTTTAGCTAATTCCTAATTGTTTTATTCATTTTTATGCTATTATAAATGGGATTGCTTTCATAGTTTCCTTGTCAGATTGTTCAGTTAGTATATAAAAATGCAATGGATTTTTTGTGTGTTCATACTGTATCCTGCTACTTTGTTGAGTTATTTATTAGTTCTAACAGTGTTTTGGGGGCAGTGGATTGTACATATAAGATCATATCATCTGTGAAGAGTCATAATTTTACTTCTTCCTTTCCAATTTGGATTTCTTTTATTTCTTTTTTTGCCTAATTGCTCTGGCTACAACTTCCAGTACTATGTCAAATACAAGTAGCAGAAGTGGCATCCTTGTCTTGTTCCTGGTCATAGAGAAAAGTTTCTAATCTTTAACCATTGAGTATGATGTTAGCTGTGGGCTTGTCATATATGGCCTTTATTATGTTGAAGTACTTTCCTTCTATACTCGATTTGTTGACAGTTTTTTATCATGAAAAGATGATAAATTTTTTCAAATGCTCTTTCTGCATCCATTGATATAATCATATAATTTTTGCTTTTCCTTTTGTTAATGTGGTATATGACATTCTTCATTTGCATAGGTTGGACCACCCTTGCATCCAAGGGATAAATACTACTTGATCATGGTGTATGATCCTTTTAATTTGCTGTTGAATACAGGTGCTAGTATTTTTTTTTGTAGAAGCTTTGCATTTATGTTCATCAGGAATATGGACCTGTAGTTTTCTTTTCTTGTAGTTTCCTTGTCTGACTTTTGTGTCAGGGTAATGCTTTGTAAAATGGGTTTGGAAGTGTTCTCTCTTCAATTTTTTCTAAGAGTTGGAAAAGAATTTGTATTAATTCTTTAAATGTTCAGTAAAATTCAGAAGGGAAACAGTTCATGGGCTTTTCTTTGATAGGAGACTTTTAATTTGTGATTCAATCTCCTTACTTGTTGGTCTGTTAAGATTTTCTATTTCTTTATAATTCAGTCTTGGTAGGTTTTATGTTTCTGGAAATTAATCTAGTTTTTCTAGGTTATCTAACTGGTTTTATTTAAATGCACATAGTAATCTCTTATGATCCTATGTGTTATCTGTTGTCCTCCTTCACTTCTGATTTATTTGTCTTCTGTCTCTTTTCATCAGTCTACCAGAAGATATATCATTTTTCAAGACTTAATTTTTTAACTGAAAAACCTTTTTGTTGACTTTTTAAATTGTTTTTCTAGTCTCTATTTCATTTATTTCTGCTTTGAGCTTTATTTCCATATGTCTGCCAACTTTGTGCTTCATTTGTTCTTCTTTATCTAGTTCCTTGAGGTGTAAATTTACATTGTTTATTTGAGGTCTTTCTTTATTCTTAATGTAGGTGTTTATCACTATATACTTCCCCCTTAGAACTGTGTTTGATGCATTCTGTAAGCTTTGGTATGTTGTTGTGTTCGTTCATTTGTGTTGCTATGAAGGAATACTTGAGACTAGGGAATTTATAAAGAAAAGAGGCTTATTTGGCTCATGGTTCTGCAGGCTGTACATGAAGCATAGTGCCAGTATCTGCTTCTGGTGAGGGCCTCAGGAGGCTTACAGTCATGGAAGAAGGTGAAGGGGAGCCAGCATGCAACACAGGGAGAGAGAATGCAAGAGAGAAATGGGAGAGGTTCCAAACTCTTTTTAACAATCAGATATTGCAGTAGTTCATTGCCATAGAAAGGCCCCAAGCCATTCATGGGGGATTTCCCCTCACTATCAAAACACCTCCCAATAGGGCCACCTCCAATACTGAAGATCACATTTCAACATGAGATTTTGAGAGGACACACATCCATACCATATCAGATATGTTTCCATTTTTACTTGTCTCAAAATGTAAACAAAGTATTATGTCTTCTTTGGCCCATTGTCATTCAGTAGTATGTTGTTTAATTTCCATATGTTTGTGAATGTTCCAGTTTTCCTCCTGTTATTGATTTCTAGTTTCATAACACTGTGGTAAGAAAGGGCACTTGATATGCCTTCAACTTTCTTAAATTTTTTATGGTCTACTATATGACCTATCTTGAAGACTGTCATAGCACTAGACATAGGTGCTTGAGAAGAATGTATATGCTGCTGCTGTTGGATGAAATGTTCTGTATATGTCTGTTAGGTCCATTTGGTCTAAAATGTAGTTCAAGTCCCATGTTTCCTTATTGATTTTCTGCTTGGATGATCTCTCTATTGTTGAAAGTGGGGTATTTAAGTCCCTTACTATTATTGCATTGATATTTATTTATCCCTTCAGTTCTGTTAATATTTGCTTTGTATATTCAGGTGCTCTGATGTTGGGTACACATATATTTACAATTGTTTTACCCTCTTGATGAATTTATCCCTTTATCATTATATAATGACCTTCTTTGTCTTATTTTACAGTTTCTGAATTAACGTCTAGTTTGTCTAATCAGAGCTAACTCTGCTGTCTTTTGGTTTACATTTACATGGAATATCTTTTTCCATCCCCTTCACTTTCAGCCTATATGTGTCCTCAAGGGAGCATTTTATAGGCAATATATAGCTGGGTATTGTTTTTGTTTGCTTTTTTTTTTTACCAATTCAGTTATTATGTGACTTTTGACTACATAATTCAATCCATTTACATGCAAAGTAATTAATTATAGGTAAGAACTCACTATTGCCATTTTGTAAAAATTTTCTGTTTTGTAGTTCCTTAGTTCTTTTGTTCCTCTCTTGCTATCTTCCTTTCTGATATGATTCGTTTTTGTAGTGGTATACTTTAATTCATTTCTCTTTATCTCTTGTGTGTCTACTATAGCTTTTAGCTTTGTGGTCACTATGAGTCTTACAGAAAACATACTTATAGCAATATATTTTAACCTAATAAAACCAGTACTACACTGTACTGCATACCTATCCAAGGGTGCACTCAATTTAACTTCATTTGCCTATGGAAACTCTACATTTTACTTCTCTCCTACCCCCACATGCATTATATGTTTTTGATGTCACAATTTACTGCTTTTTATATTATCTATCTCTTAACAAAATATTGTAGCTATAGTTATTTTTAATACTTTTGTGTTTAATATTTTTTTCGGGAGTTAAAAACATATTTATATAACACCATTATTGGATTATAATATTCTGATTTTGACTATATATTTACCATGACCAGTGGGTTTTATACTTTCATGCATTTTTATGTTATTAATTTGTGTCCTTTCATTTAAGCTTGAAGAAGTACCTTTAGCATTTCTTATAAGGCAGGTATAGTAGTGATGAACTCCTTCAGCTCTGTTTGTCTGGAAATATCTTTATCTCACCTTCATTTTTGAAGGACAGCTTTGCCAGATATATCATTGGTTTTCAGAATGTTTTTTCTTTCAGTAGTTTGAATATATCATCCCATTCTTTTCTGGCCTGTGAAGTTTCTCCTGAAAAGTCCAAAATAGTTTTATAAAGGTTCTCTTGTATGTGACAAGTCACTTTTCTCTTGCTGCTTTTAAATTTCTTTGTCTTTGACTTTTGGCAATTTGATTATAAGGTGTCATGGTGAAGTTCTCTTTGGGTCGAACATGTTTGGAGACATTTGAGTTTCACAGGTGTAAATGTCCATATCTCTCTCAGGGTTCGGGAAAATTTGAGCCATAATTTATTTAAATAAGGTTTCTTCCCCTTTCTCAATCCTCCTTCTGAGACTTTTATGATGCATACATTGGTTTCATTATTAGTGTCCCTTAAGTCCCATAGGTTTACTTTACTCTTTTCAATTTTTTTCTCCTTAGTCTGGATAATTTCAAAAGACCTATCTTCAATCTCAGAGATTCTTTCTTCTGCTTGGTTGAGTCTGCTGTTGAAGTTCCCTATTGCATTTTTTCAGTTGATTCACTGTATTTTTCAGCTCCAGGATTTATGTTTGCTTTCTTTTGATCTTTCAATCTCTTTGCTTCACTTCCAGTTTTATTCATATATTGTTGTTATGATTGATATTATTGAGTTCTCTTGTATCTTGCTGAGCTTCTCTAAAATAATTATTTTTAATTCCTTGTTTAGGAAGCTTACAGATCTCTAACTCTTTAGGGTTTCGCATTGGAAAATTATAGTGGTCCTTTGGTGATGTCATTTTTCCTTTGTGTATGTGTTTATGACCTTGCAATGATATCTGTGCATTTGAGGTAGCAGTCATCTCTTCAAGACTGATGGGCTGGATTTGTGGGGAAATACTTTCATTTGTGGGTGAGTGCTATGCTAAGTGAACAGGATGTGGTGGCATAGTCTGTGCAGTTCCATCAGCTGTAATCAATATTTGACAGGACTGTGGGGGTCCTCAGTGGCCAAGGTTGTAGATGTATTTGAAGGCAGCAGTAGTGATGAAAGTTTTAGAGGGCCTTAGTGTCAAAGATTGCTGTGGTCCTCCTGCTATTCTTTTTCCTGGGGCCGCCTATGACACTGTGGGGAGTCCTAGCCAAAGGGATCCTCTTGGTGCTGAGTCTGTCACAAGGGCATGCTGGTAACCACAGTAGCACTGGTTCCAGGGCACAGGCATTTTTGTGGCAGTGGTGGTCCCAGTATTCAGCACATAGGTGATCAGAGCAACATCAGAGCCAGAGTCCTGGGCTCAGGAGTGTATAGAACATCTATGGCACCTGGAGAACAGGGCCATAATTCTATAGCAGTGGGTGTCATCAGTGTCTGAGACAGGCATTTGACAGTCTTAACTGATATAACCAAAGTAAATGAAGCTAAGCCCTTTAAAAAAGCACAGGTTATTTAGAAAGCAATTAACTTACATGATTAGGAAGTGCTAATACAAGATTTCATGGAGTTCAATAATTCTTGAAAGAAAACTCTTGCTTTTAAGGGAATTACATTACTGAGGATACTTTTGGTTGCAAGGAACAGAAAACACACATCAGACTGATTTCTATATTGAAGGAAATGCATTGCTTTATGTATATGAAAAACCTGTGGCTCATGCTGGCTTCAGGAAGAGATCATTCCAGCAGCTCAGTGATGTTGCCATGGAGTCAGTTTCCTTCTACTGCTCTGTTTTATGTTATCAGCTTCAGCATAATATTGTCTGCTTTTCTAGTCTCAAAATAGCTGCACCAGTTTCTGGGGTCAAATGTGTCTTTATGAAGATCCTGGAAGGAATGATTATTTTTGACCCAGAGGTCTCAATAGAAACCCTAGTAGTTAATTTTCCTGCTTAAAACATCTGCCAATACCTAAACTAATCACTATCGTAAAGGAGAGAGGGGGCAGGGACATCATGTGCTGATTGTCTTAGGGAAGTGTTCCATCTCTACAGAGCTGGGAGTGGAATCAGTGCTTCAGAATCCCCATGGATATCCAAGTGAAAATTAAAACTATTAGAAAGCGAGGAGAAGGAATTAGGTGATGAGGAGATAATAACCTATGGACAATATTGTAAAATAGCAGTTTTAATTCTAGTCCCCTTTTCTTAGGAATGAAATTTCTTTTGAACATTAGAGATACCTAACTTATTAAAGAGCAGTCATTCAGTTAAGATGAGATGAGAAAGTCCATGGGAGAAAAAAGGGATATCCAACCCTAAGTGGCCTTTCTTTCTCTCCATAGATACATATCCTGCCCAGGTATTCTGTGCACAGGATGGGGGCTGGAGATCTATTTTGTAAATAAAGGAAAAGGGTGTCATCCTGAAA
Organism: Homo sapiens; assembly: GCF_000001405.40. Taxonomy (NCBI): domain Eukaryota; kingdom Metazoa; phylum Chordata; class Mammalia; order Primates; family Hominidae; genus Homo; species Homo sapiens. Next base: position 46,574,772 of record NC_000006.12, read on the forward strand.
TTTTTGCTCAGAAATAAACACAGTTTGTTTTAGAATCACTTTGGTCTAAGTATCAAAAATCACTGTTAATTTTTTTAGGGAGCCAAGATGGCCAACTAGATACAGCCAGGAAGAAATTCTCCCACTGAAAGAGACTAGACTATCAAGGAGACCAGCATACTCTGAACAAGTCTTTGGAAAGAAGGCATGGAGAGTGGACACAAAAAGGACACAGACCATAGGCTGAAAGTAGAGAAAGTTGGGAACACTGCAGGGGGTTGCCGAGCACCAGGACTCATTTCTGGGCCCAAGAGCCTCCTAAAGAAAGGGTAAGTGAAATAGGCATGGAGTGGCTCACCTTCACCAGGGGCTTCTGAGATCCTAGCTATGGGAGATCCCACAACTCCCATGACATTTGAGCTGCTAGTGATAATTGCCTGGAGAGTTGGTGGAAACAGAATTCCAGCCTGGAAAGAGCCCAGAGGGTTTGACATGGGAATGTCTATAGTGGAGCATGGCCATGGACACTCATCCCACAAGGCTCACCATACTCCTTTAGGTGACTTTAGCCTTTGTTAGCTGCTGGACCTGGAGAGAGTGGGGTTGTCTTGTCCATGCAGTCTGATTTGAGCACACCCCAGTCTGCTGGCCTCTCTCAGGGTCCCTGCCTGGCTGCAACCACATGCAGCCCAGCCTCAATTGCCCAGCCAAAGTGCTTGTCAATGGCCACCACGAGTTGTTTCACTGGCAGATGCTGCATACCCATTGGAGCACTTTTGCATCTTGCCAGTGTGCACCCACCTGCAGCCTTCCCACATTGATGTGCACTCACTCATAGCATCCCCCTGTCCCCACCTCACTGGAATACATGCACACAGGGGCCCACCACTGCCCTGCCAGAGCACTTTTGCCAGAAGCTCCAGTCAAGTGTTGTTGCCAACAGACTGGAAACACCTCAAACGCTCCAGCACAGCCCGTGCTTTAATCTCAAGGGGCCCCAGAACAAAGCTGTGGGCCTGCTCCCAGCCCTCCTGGGTTAGAACACCCAGTCCAGGAGTGATGAGCTGAGCCTTGGGCCTCTGAAAATATCCAGATATGAAGCCAGTCAACTAAATCCAACTTATACCACAGCCAAATCCTCAAGGGCATTGTATTAGTCCATTCTCACGTTGATATAAAGAAATACCTGAGACTGTAATTTATGAAGAAAAAAGGTTTAATTGGCTCATGGTTCAGCTGGCTGTTCAGGAAACATAGTGGCTTCTGATTCTGATGGGGTGGATATGGCCGAACTTCAGGAAGCTTCCAATCATGATGGAAGGCAAAGGGGGAGCAAGCTTCTTACGTGGCAGGAACAGGAGCAAGAAAGAGATGGGGGATGTGCTACACACTTTTAAACAACCAGATCTCACAACAACTCAGTCAGTATTATGAGGACAGAGCCAAGAGGGATGGTACTAAATCATTCGTGGAAAACATCTCCATTATCCAATCACCTCCCACCAGGACCCGCCTCCAAAACGAAGGATTCCAATTCAATATGAGATTTGGGTGGGGATGTAGATCCAAACCATATCAGGTATCAAAGAATATAAGAAGCAAAAAGTCCCATCCAAAAGATTAAAAGAACATCAGCTCACACAGATGAGAAGGAACCAGTGCAAGAATTCTGGCAACTCTGAAAGCCAGAGCATTTTTTAACCTCCAAACTACCACATTAGCTCCCCAGCTATAGTTCTCAACCAGCCTGAAATATCTGAAATGACAGATATAGAATTCAGAATCTGGATGGCAAGGAAGCTCATCAAGATATAGGAGAAGGTTGAAACCCAATCCAAGGAAAACAGTGAAATGGTCCAAGAGTTGAAAGATGTGATAGCCATTTTAACAAAGAACCAAACTGAATTTCTGGAAATGAGAAATTCGCCACAGGAATTTCAGAATGCAACTGGAAGCACTGATAACAGAGTAAACCAAGTTGAGGAAAGAATCTCAGGGCTTGAAGACAGCTCCTTCAAATCAACGCAGGCAGACAACAATAAAGAAAAAATAATTTATAAAAATGAACAAAGTCTTTTAGAAATATGGGATTATGTTAAGAAACCAAACCTACAACTTATTGGCATTCCTGAAAAAGATGGAGAGAGAACAAGCAACTTGGAAAACATATTTCAGGATATTGTCCACAAAGATTTCCTCAACTTCACTAGAGAGGTTGACATGCTCATAAGATTCTCCAAAGTCAATGCAAAAGAAAAAATCTTAGAGCCAGCAATGGAGAAGGGGCAGATCATGTATAAAGGAATTGCCATCAGGCTAACAATGAAACTTTCAGCAGAAACCTTACATGCCATGAGAGATTGGGGGTGTATATTTAGCATCCTTAAAGCAGAGAAATTCTAACCAAGGACTTCATAGCCAACAAAACTAAGATTCATAAGCAAAGGAGAAATAAAATCCTTTTCAGACAAGAAAATGTGAACAGAATTCATTACCACTAGACCTGCCTTACAAGAGGTCCTTAAGGGACTACCAAACAGAAATCAAAGATCATTATCTGCCGCCACAAAAACACACTTAAGTACATAGCCCACTGACACTATAAAGCAACTACACAATCAAGTCTACTTAAGAACCAGTGAACAACACGGTGACAAGATCAAATCTTCACATACTGATATTAACCTTGAATATAAACAGGCTAAGAACCTCATTTAAAAGGCACAGAGTGGCAAGCTGGATAAAGAAACAAGACCCAACTGTATTCTGTCTTCAAGAGGCCCATTTCACATGCAATGACACCCAAAGACTCAAGGTAAGGGGATAGAGAAAGATCTATCAAGCAAACAGAAAATAAAAAAAGAGTAGGGGTTGTTATTCTTACTTCAAACAGAAGAGACTTTAAACCAACAATGCTCAAAAAGGACAAAGAAGGGTGTTACCTAATGATAAAGGGTTAAATTCAACAAGAAGAGTTAACTTTCCTAAATATGCATGAATCTAATGCTGAAGCACCCAGATTCATAAAAAAAAATTCTTAGAGGCTTATATTGATACTTACATACCACACAATAATAGTGGGAGACTTTAACAACACACTGACAGTGTCAGACAAGTCATCAAAGCAGAAAATCTAACAAATATATTCAGAACCTAAATTCAACACTTGACCAAATGGACCAAACAGACATCTACAGAATACTCTACCCAACAACAGAATATACATTATCCTCATATGCACATGGCACATACTCTAAGATTGACCACATGCTGGGTCATAAAAGCAATACTCAACAAATTCAAAAAACCAAAACCATACCAACCACACTCTCAGACCACAGTGCAATAAAAATAGAAATTAATACCAAGAACATCTCTCAAAACCATAAAATTAGATAGAAATTAATTGCTCTGCTCCTGAATGACTTTAAAGAATGAAATTAAGGCAGAAATAAAAACAAATACTTGGAAATGAATGAAAACAAATATACAATATACCAGAATCTCTGAGACACAGCTAAATCAGTGGTAAGAGGAAAGTTTACAGCACCAAATGCCTACAACAAGAAGTTAGAAAGATCTCAAATTAACAATCTAATATCACCTATGGGAACTAGAAAACCAAGCACAAACCAACCCCAAAGCTAACAGAAGAAAATAAATGACCAAAACTGGAGTTGACCAAAACTGAGATGCAAAAATCGAGACGCAAAAATCCATACAAAAGATTAAGAAAACCAAAACTTTGTTTTTTGAAAGAATAACTAAGATTCATAGACCACCAGCTAGATAGATTAATAAAGAAAAAAAAAGAGAAAAGATCCAAATAAACACAATCAGAAATGACAAAGGGGATATTACAACCAATCCCACAGAAATAATTTAAAAAACCCTCAGAGAGTATTATGAACACATCTATGCACACAAACTTGGAAACCTAGAATAAATGAATAAGTTCCTGGAAACATGCAGCTTTCGAAGATTTTACCAGGAAGAAACTGAAATCCTGAACAGACCAATAATGAGTTCTGAAATGGAATCAAAACTCGTTATTATATTATAATCTAACAACCAAAAAAGCCCTGGAATAGAAGGATGCACAGCTGAATTCTACCAGATACATAAAGAAGAGCTGGTACCAATCTTGAAATTATTGGTACTGAAATTATTCAAAAAAGTCAAGGAGGAAGGACTCCTCCCTAACTCATTCTATGAGGACAGCATCACTCTGATACCAAAATCTGGCAGAGACAATGAAAAAAGAAAACTTCAAGCCAATATTGCTGAATAACATACATGCAACAATTCTCAACAAAATACTAGCAAATTGATTTCAGCCATATACCAAAAAGCTAATCCACCATACTTTGTATCCCAGGAATAAAGTCTACTTTAGAGTAAATAAAACTTACTTTGTTTACTTTATTTACCTTGGATACAAGATTGGTTCAATATAAACAAATCAATCAATGTGATTCATCTCATAAACTAAACTAAAAACAAAAAATACATGATCATCTCAATAGATGCAGAAAAGGCCTTCGATAAAATTCCACATTCCTTCATGTTAAAAACCCTCAACAAACTAGGCATAGGAGGAACATACCTCAAAATAATGAGAGCCATCTACAATAAACTCATAACTGACATCATGCTGAATGGGCAAAAATCGGAACCCTTCCCCTTGAAAACCGAAAGAAGACAAGAATGCCCAACTCTCATACTCCAATTCAACCTAGTACTAGAAGTCCAAGCCAGAGTAATCAGGCAAGAGAAAGAAATAAAAGGCATCCAAATAGGAAGAGAATAAATCAAACTATCTCTCTTCACAAACGATATGATTCTATACCTAGAAAACCCTACTGTCTGTCCCAAATCTCCTAAAACTGATAAATAACTTCAGTAAAGTTTCAGAATACAAAATCAATGTGTAAAAATCAGTGGTATTTCTATACACCAACAACACCCAAGCTGAGAGCCAAATCAAGAATGCACTCCCATTCACAACAGCCACCCACATAAAATACCTAGGAACACAGCTAACCAGGGAGGTAAAATATATTTAAAATAAGAATTAAAAAACACCAAGGAAAGAAATCAGATATGACACAAACAAATGGAGAAAGTGTTCCATGCTCATAGATAGGAAGAATCAATATTGTTAAAACGGTCATACTGCACAAGGAATTTAAATATTCAATGCTATTCCTATCAAACTACCAAAGTCATTTTCCACAGAATTGGAAAAAACTATTCTAAAATCCATATGGAACCAAAAAAGAGCCCAAATTACCAAAATAATCCTAAGCAAAAGGACAAAGCTAGACACATCACATTACCTGACTTAAAACTATACTACAAGGCCACAGTAACCCAAACAGCATGATACTGGTACAAAAACAGACATATGGACCAATGGAACAAATTAGAGAATCCAGGAATAAAGCTGCACACTTAAAAACATCAGATCGGATAAGTAAGCAATAAAAACAAGCAATGGGGAAAAGATACCCTGTTCAATAAATGGTGCTGGGATAAACTAGCTAGCCATATGCAGAAGACTGAAACTGGACCCCTTCCTTTCACTGTATACAAAAATCAACTCAAGATGAATTGAAGACTTAAATGTAAGACCTAAAACTTTAATGGCTGTAAAAGAAAATCAAGGAACTACCATTCTGGACATAGGCCTTGCCAAGGATTTCATGATAAAGTCTCCAAAAGCCATTGCAATAAAAACAAAAATAGACAGGTGGGACCTAATTAAACTGAAAAGCTTCTGCACAGTAAGAGAAACTGTCAACGGAGTAAACAGACAATCTACAGAATGGGAGAAAATATTTGGCATATGCATCTCACAAAGGTCTAATATCCAGAATCTGTAAGGAACTTAAATCAGCAAGCAAAACACAACCCCATTTAAAAAAAATGGGCAAATAATATGAACAGACATTTCTCAAAAAAAGAAATACACATGGGAAACAAGTATATAAAAAACTGTTCAACATTACCAATCGTTAGAGAAATGCAAATGAAAACCACAATGAGATAACGTCTCACATCATTCAGAACGGTTATCATTAAAAAGTCAAAAAATAACAGACGTTGGTGAGGTTGAGGAGAAAAGGGAATGCTTATACATTGCTGATGAGAATGTAAAATAGTTCGGTCACTATAAAAAGCAGTTCGGAGATTTCTCAAAGAACTTAGAACTACCATTCAACCCAGCAATCCCATTATACCCAAAGGAATATAAATGATTATACCAAAAATACACATTCATTCATAGGTTCATTGCAACACTATTCACAATAGCAAAGACATGAAATCAACCTAGATGCCCACTAACAGTGGACTGGATTTAAAATAATGTGGGGCCAGGTGCAGTGGCTCATGCCTGTAATCTCAGCACTTTAGGAGGCCAAGGTGGGAGAATTGCTTGAGCTCAGGAGTTCAAGACTAGCCTATGAAACATAGTGAGACCTTGTCTCTACTAAAATTTTTTTTAAAATTAGCTGGGCACTATGGCATGTGCCTGTAGGCCCAGTGACTCAGGAGGCTGAGGCAGGAGGATGCTTGAGCACAGGAGGTTGAAGCTACAGTGAGCTATGATCACGCCAGTGCACTTTAGCCTGGGCAACAGGGCCTGTCTCAGAAAAAAAAAAAAAAAGAGAGAGACAGAGAAAAGAAAAAGAAAGTATGGTACATAGTAACACCATGAAATCCTGTGCAGCTATAAAAAGAATGAAATCCTGTCCTTTGCAGCAACATGGATACAGCTGAAGATCATTATCCTAAATGAATTAATACAGGAACAGAAAACCAAATACAGCATGTTCTCACTTACAAGTGGGAGCTAAACATTAAATACACATGGACACAAAGAGGGAATTGTTGTGGGTGGAGCATGGGAGGGGGGTGAGGCACTGTGCTTACTACCTGGTTGACAAATCATTTGTATATCAAACTCCTGAGACACTCAATCTACCCATGCAACAAACTTGCACATGTACCCCCCTTGAACCCAAAATAAAAGTTGAAAAAGAAAAAAAGACCACTCTTGAATTGCTGTTTCTGTTCTTCTGTTCTTGACATACTTATGTCTTAGCTTCATAATGAAGTATCAAAATGAAATGGCCAGGAAAATAATGACTGCAATTTTGCCAATGGTTTCTATGCTCCTTTGAGTGACTCATTGCTCCTTTGCAAAGCAGTGAGAAGAGAGAAGCATGGCTAAAAATCAATAAGGATTCTGATAACCTGGCTCAGAGTCTCAGAATTAGCCACATTCACCTTTCCCACCCTCATTCCTAACCCTCTTTTATATACTCTCCAGGATATGTGCACACTCTTGTGAAAATGTTAGGAAACAATTATACAAGTAAATACAATTCCTTTAATTATATTTAACAACTAGAGTTGAGGGGATGCATTTGTTTATGGAACAAATTCCTCAGAATAAATTGGATTTTTAACTTGTCACTAAATTTATGGGGATTTAAATTTGCTCACTCCTTAAAAGCAATCAGCTATTTCTAAGTATAAAAGGGAGAAAGCTACTAATAACACTTCTCAAATACAAGAGTGTGCAGATACTTTACTATATAAGGCACAGCTTTTAAAATGGCATTATCTTTAACATAAATATATAGAAAAAGATGTGCTCAGAGCATCATAAGTCCCAAATATATCATCGCCTTGCTATCACTAACATATAGGTATATTATATTCCTATAAGCACTTAATTTTTTTTCTTCCCTTGAAGTTTGATACTGCTGCATCTTAGGAAGCTGACCTTTCTTTTATGTTGTTTACTGATTATTCTAATCTAGTCCAAAAGCCTTTTCTAATCCCCCTTCCTCCAAATTCTTATGGCAGTTGTTACATATCTGAGTCTTCTGGCATTTGTCATGTGCCATCTTAAGCTGTTAAGTAGGGCTTTTTTTTTTCATATGGCTATGTCTCATTTCCCCAACCACATTATAACCAATTCAGAAATGTTATGAGTCTTTGACTCTTCCCAGTTTTTAACAAGGTGACTTGGGTGGGAATATAACATCCTAAAGGAAAGGGGCTTCATCTGATTTGTTTTCCATGATAACTCCCAGAACCCTAACCTGACACATAGCACACACTCAGTAAATAGTTATCAAATAAAAGAATAATTGTATTAATACTAGATGCTCAAGAGATGTTTGGTTAAAAACAGTACTACTAAATTACTATTAGATGGACCTCTGATTTTAATTAATTTTCCAATAGATGTGAGATTTTCATTAGGAACTCAAGACAAGCCCATGACTTTGTGGCCTAGGACTCCCTAGAATACATGAAAGACCCAAACATACACAAAAAGTAAAAATCACACTTTCTATTCCTGAGGAATCCATGCTTCATTTTAACTTCTCAAGTATTGCAGCCTTCCTCTTATTACACTCTCTTCTTATCCAAGCATGCCTTTATAAGCAGATTAATCTTGCCAAAGATCAGGGCTGTTGTTTTACACTGGAGTTTAAGCCATATCAATTTGCACAATGACACAGCAAATCAGGCATCCTCTTGCAGGAATTAGAACCAAGGAAAATCAAGCTTGTTGGTTTTGGTGTGTGTTCCAGGGGACAGGTATAGCAAGCACATCCCTAAGATCATCAACTCTCAGAGGTGCTCACTCAAAGAAGTTTTCCTCCACACTGAAAACCCTCCGTCTTATTCCTCCATTTAAATCGTATAGTTTAATGTGAGACTGTCTGCTATAATGAGACTCTTCACTTTGCAAGCTACAATTTCTGAAGAAGTCTGGTGGTTCATGCTGCTCTTTCCTGTTTGTTTTTCTGAAACAAAACAAAACAGAAATAAATCACCAGACTTCTCCAGTAGTAGAATTACTAGAAAGATTTTCTTCCATGTGCTACAAGGAAGTGCCTCGCAGTGGGATCCTGCTCCAAACCTACTTTCAGAACCCCCACGAATACGAAGAGGAACCACAGTTCTTCCATTCTGATTTTTGGTTGTTATCCCATGGCAGCACCGAGTACATACTGACTTAAATCAGCAGAACCTTCTGTGTTTGCTTGTGAGAGGGGTTCTCATACCACCTCAGTGGCTTGAACTCCAAGAAGTGACAGCTGCAAGGCCATAAGAGTGTGTGTTCATGATGAACTTTGATCATCAGCCATATTACAGGCAACTTTCTCTGACTCACTGAGTATTTGGTGCATGAGAAAATAAATTGGCGCCTGGAACACAAATCAAGAACGAGTGCAATTTTCTGGGGATTACAACTAAGGATTTGTGGGATTAAATTTCTAGTGCAAAAAAAATCTACCTTGGTATACATTGTCCAAATGAAGTCATTTGCTTTCCTGAACAATTTGCTATTTTATTTCTCTTTAGAAACAAAACATTTCATGCATTGGCTGTTTAAAATAAGTAATAAGTAATAAGACAAAATTAAGGACATTTTAAAACAGAAACAGTAGAAAACTAAACTTGATGAGGTTTCTTAAATAGGTCACATGTATTCAACATTTATATTTAACTGGTAGATTTTGGTTAAGTGATATATATATTTTGACACACTCTACTTTCAAAGGAAAACTTCAGATCTTGCTCCCAGACTCTCTCTCATTCCTGATTTCTGTATTTCCACCACCTCTACCAGACACCTGGATTTAAAGCCACAGTCCACCTCAAAGCCTTCCTCTCACCTGACCCCCGCTTCTAATCATCTTCCAAATCTGGTAGATTCTACCACTCCCTGTCTCACACATAGAATATTAGCATAACCATATAACCTAAGTCATGCTTCACATGAATCCACTCTGCCCAAAACCTTTTAGTTCTTTATTAGTGCCATGTGAGCTGCATACAAACTCATACATCAGGTATTAAGGGGCCTTTTCAATTGGGCCAGTGTACATTTTCAGCCTTACTTCTCACCACTGTAATCTGGTCCCAGTAACAGTAAAACCATAAGGCCTTAAGCCACATGCCTCTGTGCTTAGTAACCCTTTGCTCATTCTGTTGTCTCAAGCTAAAAGGTCTCCCGCCACTTTCCCCAGGAAATCTTCTGAGAGCATCTTGACCAGACATATCCTTTCTCTTGAAGCTCAGTGTGACGCTTTGGCATCTCTCGACCAGAAATCCTTGCAGTTATTTATTAATTGAATGTCCACTTTGCCCCTACTAAGTTGTTTCTCATGTGGGTTGAAACATGTCTTACTCATGCTCAAAGCCCCTATGGTAGCCAGAGCACTGCCTTGCACAGAGTAAGAGCTCAGCGTGCTCTAAAAATACGTAGTTTCTGTCTAAAGAAGATACTATTGATTGAGTTACAGCATCATGGTTCCCTTTATTATACCAATTACTTTCAAACTCAAAAAAATGTCTGTTAGCCTCAAATGTCATCATGGAAGGTAGTAATAGCGCCTCTTGGAAACAATAGTCAACAGGTAATCCTTGACCATTGGCCCATACTACACACTTCATTGCAAGACATTTCAGTCATTGGTTTAAAATACTGCTAGCTCCAGGTCAAGGATGATTACAATAAATTATTTAGTTGCTATTGGTATAGATAGATAGATAGATAGATAGATAGATAGATAGATAGACAGACAGATAGCTAGATATAGTGATATAAAGAAACCTGAAAAAAGTAGCATCTATTGTTTTTAGAAGAACTATTCTTAGGACATTGACATTTGGTATGTGACAAAAACAAAAAATTTGTTATTGGCTTAAGAACTGCTTCTCTAAAGTGAAAATAATATGAGAGGCAGGATGAGCATGATGGGTTTTTGTTGCTAATGTTGTTGTGTGTTATATGATGTCCCTAAAGTAACTGATACTCAATTATAATGTTCAGCTTTGGAGTTTTATGGTGGGTATGTCAGTATATGGTGGGTATTCAGCTCCAAACAATGGAACCCTCAACTAAAAGTGACTTAAAAAGTAAGGACACTTATTATCTAACATAACAGGAAGTAGACAAGCTCCTCAAATCTGATGAATTCAGCGACAAAATAATATTACTGAGATTCCAGGGATTCAGGCTCCTACTATATTTCTGCTCTGCCATCTACAGACTGCACCATCATACAGCTTATTCCTCTTGAACTTGCTGCTAGTAACATCTGAGGCTGCATGCTTCCTTGTTCATATCCAATGGGACAGGATGAACGGGGCCTCATCCTGAAGAAGTCTCTCCTTTCACTCTGTTTGGCCAGTTTAGCTCAACTTCCTACCTCAGGACAAGCAGCTCATCAAAACACCAGGCACCCATTTGCTTAGGCTTAGATTTCTAGAATAATGCCTAAAATGAGGATAGAATTTCCATGATTGGCTATGACTGATTAATACTATTTTAGGGGAAGCGTAAATTACCAAAATCATACTAATACTCTAAACACATGAAGAACGGAAGGATGGAATGGATACTGCGGAGCAATTAATAACTGCAAATATGGACTGGCATTATTGTTCAAATAATGAAGAGGACTGACTTCAAGAAACTACAATTTTTTAAATATAAAAATTTAATGGATTTCTACATTTATTGAGTGAGATTTTGTCATAAACAGGTACTGACATTTCCCCTACAGAATCATCCCCAATGAAGAAATGTGACATATTTAATGTAGATTGTAAATTCTATGAAGTCAGGGACCATGTTGGTCTTCCTCAGTGCTCTCTGAAGCTTAGAAGAGGGCCTGGCACAGATGAGATGTTCAAAAACCTTTTCTGCTTGAACAAATAAAGATAACAATAACTTTCATTAAACAATGGACACTTGCATTAGAACAGGGTATCACACTGAGGAGGAGGGCTGGGTGCCAGATTAATTTAACTATAAAAGGTATCAAAAGAAAGTTTTCACAAGCCAAACTAACACCATAGACAAAAACCACCTAGTAAGTGCCTGCTATGCTCCAAGCCAAAGATTTTCTAGAACCCTAGCAAATATCCATGACAATGTCATAGTGAAAGAAATATAATTCTATCTTTGTTTTTAAAGAAGGTAGCACTCAAACCACTTCCAATTATGTTTGTGTGAAAGCTGACAATTTGAACCATAAACGCTGCTTTGATGTGGCATCTGGCAAGTGTAATGTTCTCTTCTCATAAGGTCTTCTATCAGAAGCCACTTTAGATATTCCCAGAGAGACACTGCACAGGACCACAGATAAACCAGACAAAATGTGTTCTTCTGGATTTCCCTATAGTTTAAATATATATATAAAGAGATTAAGCCAAAGTTGTTCCCCTCTGAGCCATCATCTTTCTGCAGACTTTCTGGATAAATGTGGCCCAGCTGTCTCACTGACCTTGCAGGACACTGGAACTTCCCGCTTCCAAATGCCATGAAGCAGTCCAAGAAAGAGTGCTTCTCTAAATTTGCCTTTTTCCAACGTTCCTGTGGGAAGAAAACATTTTTTTTTCCAAATCAGCCTTATATAAATAAGCTTAACTTTATTTCTCTAGGCTAAAAATGACCTTGTACAGCTAATCCTTGCATATAAAGTTGCAGGGTTGTTGGTAATTTTTTCCACCCTGTTATTAATATTAGACACAATTGTGTTTCTGGAACATGAACTTATAAATAAAAAGGTTTTTAAAAAATTCTGTTAAGTGGTAAATGTAAATGATAAGGTAAATCAACCACAGAATTGACCTAAGAAGAGGAAGAATATTTATAATAAGGTCTCAGGCTCCGTCATAAAATTGCTCTTGGTAATAAATTTAGTAGTAAGACACTGACATCCCTGCCTGTTAGAAAAAGCTTGGGATGCAGAATGAATGCATCTGGATGCCATTTTTGACAGTTTTACCTAAAGGCAGAGAACAGACTAAATGACCTCTTAACATTCTGTTCGGCCCTGTAACTTTCCAGTTCTAAGAAACAGCAGATCACGGTTTTAATTTGCTTTATTTGTATTTTTTTGTACTCCTTGGAAACCAATGACAGAAGCAATTGCCTGAAGAACATGAAATAAGTCTTCTATCAAAAACAGGCTTATTCACTTGAACATGCCCTTCTGGTTTCATGTAAAATGTATTTTAAAGTTAGAGAAGTTTACTACAAAAACTTTTCTAACTGATTTGTAAATGTTGCACTATCTATATTGCAAATCTGTTCTGTACTTTGTAGTCAACTTTGTTCTTAGTTACGAGAGAAATATGGCTGCTTAATTATATAGTCCTAATTAATTTCTGAATTTACCCTTCTGAAATAAAAAGAAATTAAAATGAAAGAATAATATATACTGAAAGAGATAACTTACAGGTTTGAACAATTCAGGCTCAGGAAAATACTTTGGATTTCTATGCAGCCAAAATGGAGACAACATCAACAAGTCACCAGAAGGAATGATGTAATTCTATAACAGAAAAATCAGCTGCAAATCATTTTTTTGAAATATACTTTAAAGAGAATTTGGGCCACTAAAAATGATGCTACAATTATATTGTGGTGAAGATATACCTTTTATAATTGAATGTGAGAAAATCTAATTTTTAATATCTATATAATTATATAATATCTAATTATAAATAATATAAAATCTAATAATATAGTATCTATATAATTCTGATTTCCATATACATATATTTGGTTACATAGAGGAAATTATATAATTCTGATTCACATGTACATATATTCAGTTATATGGAAGGAAATATTAGCTAAATGTCAAAATTTTAGAAACTAGTATAAGTCCCTTCTAATGTACCTTTTGATGTTTGATATTAGGGTTTGTGGCCAGAGTTCTTGAAGGCAGAAACTACAGTGGAGGCTCAGGTTATGAAACAGAAAAATTGGACTCTGAGACAGGGACAATGGCCATGGTAGCACTGAGAAGAGGGGCAGAGGATGTCCTGTTCTTGTGGATACTAATGACAGTGTTAGAGCAGGGGCAGTGGACTTTTCTTTCCTCAGTCCAGCACCGGTTATTAGGAAAGAAACAAATGAAAAACGACTGGTTAGGAAGACACAGGAAAAGGCAAGTGTTGTGTATTTGTTTGGTTGGGTTTGTGTTTGGGGTCACAGTGCTTGTGGAAATGAGGATAAACAATGTGTTTCCTCAGGTAGTCTACATTATCCTTCCTGATTCATATGACAACAGATTTTCATGATCTATAAACTATACAAAGAACTAAAACCCATTTCACAAAATCTCCCTATCATCACCATGTTCAGGAATCACAGGACAAAGAGATCTCCCAAGTTTTATAATTGCTAGATAGCTACCAACTTTACTAAGGTAGAGATATTTTATTAGGTAATTCCCACTGCCCATCATCATAAGCCACATCTATTTAACCGTGTATAATTTTGAAATGTCCTCAAGATATTTGAAAAACTTTTACTTTAGGTTTACTTATCCAAAGCATAAACACCTTACAATTAAAAACATGTCTTCTGCTGGGTGTGGTGGCTCATGCCTGTAATCCTAGCACTTTGGGAGGCCTTGGTCGGAGGATCCTTTGAGCTCAGGAGTTTGAGACCAGCCTAGGCAACATAGGAAGACCTTGTCTCTACAAAAAAATGAAAAATATTAGCTGGGGATGATGGTGCACCTGTAGTCTCAGCTACTTGGGTGGTTGAGACAGGAGGATTGCTTGAGCCCAGGAGGTTGAGGGTACAGTGAGCTATGATTGTGCCACTGTACTCTAGCCTGGGAGACAGAGTGACATTCTGTCTCGAAGAAAAATAAAAATATGTCTTTTACTGGTAGCTATGAGTGGAGTATGGGTAGGGATGTCATCATTTTTTTAACCCAGGAGAACCCCTGTTGGCTCTAGTGGCAGCTGAGTATTGCTTGAGATTTGGCAATTTCAGAACTGGGAGAGCTGGAGAGACTCAAATCCAAGACTGGGAAGACAGTGAAGCTTTTGCAGGTACCTTCTATCATTTTAAAATAGAGAGACCTGTGAGATCCCAATCCTGTCTGTTTTACTTCCATTGGAACTGAGGCTAGAGAGGTCATTACTGACTCTGGAATCAGCCACAGAGGGCCGTGATGTGTATTTGAGAGCAGGGTTGGGGGCAGCACAGGGATGGGCCTTCAGTCAGGACAACCACAGCCCTTCCCCTTCCCACCGCAAAGTCCTCTTAAGTTGCTGTTGACCTGTGATCATGACTTGGAGGCTGCTGACTGTTGTAGCCTATAAAGCAGGTTAGCAAAGGGAGGAGAACTTCATACAGGTCCTCAGTAACAGAATTACCACTAGCAACAGGGAGGAGACAAGAAAGAGGTGCCTGTTGCAGCAGCAGCAACTGCCAGACTGATAAATAGCATGAAGGAATGAATGCTGGAGCTGGTTCTGTCAAGAAACCCTCTGAGCAAGCAGACATCATCACGCCCAGCCTAAACAGTCCCTATCTTTACTTACATGACAGATGAAGTGAAAGATCAAGAGGGAGGCAAAACAGTTGCAGAATGAGAACACAGATCACTAGCAAAGGGAAGCTACAACTTCTGTGTGTTGCAAGAACTGCATCTCTCAGGTAGACAGAATTGAGCCTGGCCAGCCCACCTCACCTGGATGGTGTGAAGCCAAAACAAGCTTCATCTGATAATCTAGAAGTGGGGCTTTCTTTAAAAAAGGAAGAGAAGGCAGGACTCTGTGTTGTAATTCAAGAAAGGTGCTCAGAGCTAAGTGGGTGCCAGGAATACATAATCTTAAAGAGAAAGGAGGAGTCCAGAGGCAACACATCTATAGCAGGAGGTCTAAAGCACACAGCCTTTTCTCCTAGCTTTCAACCAGAGGCTTGGTTGGTGTTTGTGCCGAAAAAAAATAAAAACAAAATAAGTATTTTTTAAATTAAAGAGTATATTCTTTTGTATGATAAAAACTTATCTCTACAAAAAGTTTGGAAAATTCTGAAAAGCAGAAAAACTAGAAAAGAAAATCCAGAGTTCTGACACCCAAAGACAGTCATTAACTAGCTAGATTTCTTTCCAGTATGTTTACTTAGTATTAATAGGAGATATTTTGTTGTTGTTAAACTTTAAACATAGTTTTGATCCTCCTGAATAACCAATTTAATCTTTCTTAGTTCTCTTAACTTCATAACCTGTTTTCCCTTTTTATTGTATATTCATGGTGAATATTTCTTCCTCCAATGACTGTTTAATCTTCCATTGGGTACATTAAACAATAATTAATGTAATCATTCCCTACTTTTTTTCCTGTGGTAAATAGTGCCACCATAAGCACTTTCTTCCACACAGCATTTTTCCACATAGATTCTGTTAACACAGATGTTCAGATGACACAGGACATGCATATTTTAAGGCTATAAATGCATGTTATTCAACTGTTTCCTCAAATTTTGTAGCAAAATATATTTCTAACTATAATTTATGAGAATGTAAGTTTCATTACCCTTTTATCTGTAATCTAACATTTCTAATGGTTGTTTTAGGTTTACATTTTTATGTTTTTACATTTACATTTTTATGTTTGAGAGTTTTTCCATTTATTTTATCCTATAAACTTTTATGTTCTGTCCTGATTAACCTATGTGACACTCATTCTTATTGATTTGTGTCAGTTCTTTAAATATTAAAATTATTTATAGTTGTGTTGTATATTGATGTTTACATTATATTCACATTTGAGTTACACTTTTAAAAAATGAGACATTAAATTTTGCTATGGTACATTCAAATCTGTTTATCCTTTTTGTGGCTTCATTGATTAATCTTAAAATCAGGCAGTCCTCTTCTTTTTATAAAATAAATATAGTTAATGTTTTAGAAAACTATGTATCATGTTAGCATGTAAGAGGTTTTTGTTATTTTAAATGAATCACCAAATTAATATTTTAACAATTTCTCAGTTTAAATTTAAAATATAGCTAATATTGATAGATTTAAAATAGACATAGACAAAAACTCTTTGGGATCTTCAATAATTCTGAAGAGTGTGATGGGATCATGAAACCAAAAAGTTTGAGAACTTCTACTTAAGAAGTTTAAAAAAAACCCACTTTTAGTCAGTCATCCCAAGCCACATATTAATTTCTTCCCTTTACATTGATTTATTAAAAGAGTCACTTATCCTACATTAAATTATTATGTATAAGGAAGCTAATTCTTTGTTATCTTTCCAGTTATTTCTATTGATCTGAACATCTGGTCTGACACCGGGATCATAACATTTTAATTCTTTTGGCTTTATAACAGGTTTTAAAGGATAATTAATATTTCTCAATTACTCATCTTTTCCAATACTCTTTTTTGTTACTCTTTTCTGGATATTCTTGAAGATAAACTTTTCTACTAAACATATAAAACCTTGAAAAGAGAACACAGGTAGAAGTTTCAGAGTTTTAGAAAGGTAGCATAATAAAGAGAAAGAAAGAATGCAGTAAATCCAAGAAAGTAGAGAGTGTTCGTCCATTTCAATTCATTCCATTTCCAGGAAAGGGCACAGAGGCAAAAGCAAACAAAGAGAGCCTGTTCGAACTACCTTAGGGAAGGGTGGTGGGAGAATACTTCTAGTATGCATAAAAAGGAACATTGACCAGTTGCCCAACAGAGGAGAAAATATGAGCCTCTGTCATTACTCAACATAGATAAGCCCATGTGAAATGTGTTTTAAAATACAAATTTCTGGGAACATATCGTTAAACTTCAGTTCAGCAAAAACATTCCACCTGTTTTTGAAAACATATGAATCTTGAAAGAACCAAATTGTATGAATTTATACTAAGGAAATAATTAGTAATGTATACAAGGATTTAGCTAAAAGGATGTTCATCTTCACACTGTTTATAGAAGTGAAAAATTGGAAGCCACATACATATGCAAGAACAGGGACTAGTTTAAAAATGTATACTATATCCATATATTAGATGACTTTGCTACCAATTCAAAATTGTGTAGATGTGTTTTATTAAAACAGAAAACTTTTCAGCTGAGCGTGGTCGTTTATGCCTGTAATCCCAGCACTTTGGGAGGCCAAGGCGGGCAGATCACCTGAGGTCAGGAGTTCCAGACCAGTCTGGCCAACATGGTGAAATCCTGGCTTTACTAAAAATACAAAAATCAACTGGGCATGATGGCACACTCCTGTAATCTCAGCTACTTGGGAGGCTGAGGCAGGAGAATTGCTTGAACCTGGGAGGTGGTGGTTGCAGTGAGCCAAGATCATGTCACTGCACTCCAGCATGGGCAACAGAGATGCAAATAATTACCACATTAACATAACCACAAAGTAAAACAATCTAAATTCTGAAGAGTCAAAAACTACTAAATATTTATGCTTTCAAGAAAATGGACTATTATGTGACCACTGAAATAAATGTGAAAACTCTCTAGATGCATAAAAAGTGAAGAATTAGTGTTAAAAAAATTTTAATGACAGATTTACACTATGCTGAAACTTTGGTTTCTATATTAATGTCATACAAAGAGAATATTAGATAGTTGCGGTAGTACATTTAAGAGGTTGTGCAGATGGGGTATTGTGCATGCAAGAGTATACATCTGTGTGCATGTGTTTGAGCATGGGTATCTCTTCTGGCAAAGTTGTCAAAATAAGTAAAATTACTTTTGAAAGAATATGGGAGGTTAATAGCCCCAACAAAAGTTACAACTCCCTTTATAACATAATCCTGACTAATACATGAGGTTAAAAGACCGTGGAAGAGCTACTTGTAGGTTGTAGTGAGCTGAGATTGTGTCACTGCACTCCAGCCTTGGTGACAGAGACCCTGTCTCAAAAAAATTAAAATAAAATAAAAATAAATAAAAGTATGAACTGTTGAAATCCCACAAAAACTAAATACTCTAATTTACATAAGGTCAGTTAAATAAATCATGTCTCCTTTGGAAGCAAAAGTTTCAACTTTTACAAAATTTGGATTTTTATCTGTGTTCTATTACAAAATTTCCTTGGTTTGAATCCAAGCACTCTCAAGCTGCATATAAAAAAGCAAACAATAGTAGAGGACTGATTAAATGTGATCCATTTGGATAATGCAGGCCCTAAGTCAAATCATTTCAAAAAAAATAATTTGTTATGCCATATTGATTCACAAATATTTAACTAATAAGTCTGCCATGTGCACATACCCTTTCATGGTGCACTTGAGAATTTCCTCCTACTTTGTCCATAGAAAATCCTCTCACCTTCACTCAGCTGCTGCCTCCTAATATAAATTGAGATTATCCAATATATTCCTGTTATCTGTTCCCATATCTGTAATCTGTGGCCTAAAATTGTCTTCCAGCTATGCAAAATAACTTTCTTCACATCCTGAATTCCTTAGCTCATTGGTGCTAAGAAATTCATGTTGGTTGAATCAGTAGACAAGAGACCATTCAATTCACCTGCCTGATTTAAATAGGATTATATTGATTCTGATTCAGAATCAGATGGCCAGAATGATTATTAAAGGGTTATTATGTTTTACTTAAAGTACTTGCCATAAGATAAATATCTATATTAATGAAACATTGCTACACAACTCTTATTAATAACCTGTTCTAGGGTCATTTTGTGCTCAATGGAATTCAAGAAATTACATAATATATGCTATCAAAATTCTAATGACATTTTTACAGAAATAGAAAAAACATATGAAACTACAAAAGACC
Source organism: Homo sapiens (assembly GCF_000001405.40). Lineage (NCBI taxonomy): Eukaryota > Metazoa > Chordata > Mammalia > Primates > Hominidae > Homo > Homo sapiens. Next base: position 46,594,361 of record NC_000006.12, read on the forward strand.
CTTGAACAAAGAAAAAACCTGAATCATCACACTATTTGACTTCAAAATATATTATAAAGCTACAGTAATCAAAACAGCATGGTACTGGCATAAAACCAGGCACATAGATCAATAGAACAGAATAGACAGCCCCAGAATAAATACACACATTTACAGTCAATTGAATGTCAACAAAGGTTCCAAGAACATACAATAGAAAATGGACAGTTTCTTCAATAAATGATGTTGGGAAAACTGGACATCCACATTTATAAGAATGAAATTAGACCTGTATTTCACTCCATATACAAAAATCAACTGTAATAGATTAAAGACTTGAAAGTAAGACCTGAAACTGTAAACTACCAGAAGAAAACATATGGGAAAAGACCCCATGACAGTGATCTGGGCAACAATTTTTTGAGAATATGAATCCAAAAGCACAGGTAACCAAAGCAAAAATAGAAAAATGGGATTACATTAAACTAAAAAGCTTATGTATAGCCAAAGAAACAGTCAACAGAATGAAGAGACAACCTAATGGGGGAAAATTTTTGCAGGCCATACATCTGACAAGAGGTTAATATCCAAAATATACAAGAAACTTAAACAACTCACTAGTAAAAAACAAAAACAAAAAAAATGATTTTTAAAAATTGGCAAGGAATCTGAATAGACATTTCTCAAAAGAAGGCATACAAATGGCCAACAGGTATAAAAAAATGCTCAACATTACTAATCATCAAGAAAATATAAATTAAAAACACAAGGATCTATCACCTTGCTCCTGTAGAATGGCTATATCATAAAGATGAAAGATAATTGTGGAAGAGGATGTAGAGAAAAGGGAACACTTGCACACTATCGGTGGGAATGTAAATTAGTATAGCCATATGGTAAACAGTATGAAGGTTCCTCAAAAAATTAAAAATAGAACTACTATATGATCTAGCAATCCCACTACTGGGTACATATCTAAAGGAAATGAAATCAGTATGTTGAAGACATATCTGCACTCCCATGTTTATAAAATGTATATATACATAATGGAATACTATTTAACCTTTAAAAAGAAGGAAATGCTCTCATTTGTGACAACATGAATGAAACTAGAAAACATTTTGTTAAGTGAAACAAGCCAGGAAGAATGACAAACCACATATAAGTGTATTTTCACTTATATGTTGAATCTAAAAAAAGTGAGCTCAGAAATAGAGTAGAATGGTAGTTACCGGGGATTGAAGGGTAAAGAAGGGGTGGAGGAGGACCTGGAGAGATATTAGTCAAAGGATACAAAACTTCAGTTAGACAGGAGGAGTAAGTTCAAGAGGTCTATTGTATAACATGGTGACTATTCCTAGTAATGACATATTGTTTTCCTGAAAATTACCAAGAGAATAGATTTTTAGTCTTCTTACACAGAAAACTGATAAGCAAGTGAAGTGATGCATATTTTAATTAGTTTGATTTAGCCATTCCATAATGTATACATATTTCAAAACCACATGTTGTACAAGACAAATATATAAAATATTTATTTGTCAAGTAAAAATAAATCAAGATATGTCAACCTGAAAAATATATGTGGGCAAAATGTGTACTTTTTTTGTAGAAGGTTGATTCATTTAAAACCAAACCAAAGCTTACCAAAATTTCCACAGGCTTCACCACTTTTCTAGTAATGACACCAGGAGCTTTTAAACGAATGGTTTCCAAAACACACCATTTAATTAGAAGGAGATTCTCCAGGTCATCCTCAGACACTTTAATCTTATCTTTGCCTGTAAAAAAATTTTTAATGAGAAATAAATAGACTACAGAGGTCAGAAAGTGATTTCACGTAAGCTCATCAGCAGAGGTTAGATGTTGCCTCTGACAGCAAGTAAAGTGTTCCTATTACTATTACCTATTACAGGTTTAGTCATTAATTGCCTCTTTTTCTTTATCACTTTTCTCTTGACAAGGTAAAATGTATGACACAAAAAACTAAGCCAATGTTGATTACTGTAATGTGATGGATTGGTATCCAACTTAGGTTCCCACAGTCTTATAGCTATCAAATAGCTAAGACAGTCCTTGTCAGAAAGGTTTTACTCATCTTTTTCTTGTCTAAATTCTCATTCCACTTATGTAAAAAGCAATAAAAGACTGACATCAAAAGCACAAAGAAAAAGATACGAGAAGCCATCCGGCCTTTTTCTTCTGCCTTTACCCTTTTGAATTGCTTTTTTTTTTCCCCCTAAATCATTCATTTCAAAAAAACAACTGGAAAAGGGGCAATGGGGCACAAGTATCTGAGCTGGAAGAATGAAGATGCCCTCTAAACACAGGTGCATCAAACTTTCTTAACGTGATGTGCATACTTTATTTGATCTTTAGACTGAAAGCACCTGAAAAAGGAGGGGGTGGGGTGGACGAAGGGCATCAACCATCAACCTTTGTACCATCTAAAGTAATGGCAGGAACTTTCAGTCAAATTAGACAGTTTAGTTAACAATATTTCAAGTAAAATGTTTGCATTTTGAAAATTACTTGAAACAACTGCGCTTTCAATTTGTTTTTGACAGTATTTGCTTAAGAAAAGTCAACAACAATATTGTCAGTTTAATTAAGTCAACGCATTTCTCTTTTTCACATTTGCTTTCAGACCATCTTGGGAATGAGTGGGTAAGAGTAGAACTAGGGTCTCCAGCCATGTCTCTCTTTGACTCTGGATGAGGCGTGTTCAAAAGCAAGCCCATTTTGCAGGAAAAGGTTTATTGGGTGCTGCCTGGGAAACCTTTTCTGTCAGTATAGATAGAATTCCTAAGGAGTCAGAAGCAAACACCTTTGGTTAGTGGAGTCTAGGAACCTATGAACTCCATTCAATCTGACAGATTCTTAAGTACCACGTAGGGACCAGGAGCTGAGACAGGCTGTACCAGTATTACAATAACTAAGGCGCAGCTCTTGCTTGCAATACACTTAGTCTACTAGGAGGTAAGAGACAAGCACACAGTTGACTAGTACAACATGTAGGCAAAGAAACTATTTTCTAAGATGTAAAATATTCTAAGGTAGTTAAAAGCAGATAGGGTTCACAGCTAAGGTAGTTTAAAGCAGATAGGGTTCACATCCAACTAGATGAAAAAGAAAATATTTTATGAATATATTTCTCTAAAACTACAAATATGATTAGTTTCTTGCATAGAGTCAACCCCAGTATATATATATTAAATTAGCAAATGGTCCAACTTCAACATAGGGAGGTGAATGGGTGGATATTTTAGGCAAAGAGGAAGAACAAAAGTAAGACTGCAGACAACATGAGTACATTTAGAAAATGGCAATGGGTCCAGTTTGCCCAGAAGGTGAGACATATGTGATGGAACAGTGAGAGATCCACTAAGGCCATACTACAGACGATCCTAAATGCCATTCTGGAACATCCGGAGGCTAGAGAAATTGGAAACTTCCTGTCTTAGGCTGAGGGAGTGTTAACACCTCAACAATGAAACAGTGATATACAGCACTATTCTGTATTAAATTAAGACCTTCGGCTTATTTGCTCAGATCTGAGCAATCTAATATTAAAAGGAGATAAGCACTTTTATGGGATTTTTGTTGTAATCTCTGCAGGCATTGCCCAACAAAACTGTTGGTTTTCCTTTTCCGTAACAAAGATTGGAAAACAATAAGTATGCCTTCTGCATCTTCACAACCTAAATGCCACAGTTTTTCCAAATTGTGTTCTATGAAATATTTGCAAGATGTCAAACGTATGAAGGAGGAAAAAGGTTCATGGGCAACCAAATACGAAAAATGCTACATGTTATTGGTGATTCACTGGACACATTAGTGTATTACAGGCTTTGAGAAATCCTGCAATAAAACAGTTATTTACACTGTTATTCTCAAACTTTTTGTAACATGGAATCTGTCTTCTACCAATATCCATACAAGCAAATCATTAGCTACATAAAAGATAACTAGCTATATAAATTAGGATACAGATTATTTCCAAGGCAATCCTCCGAAAAAGCAAACCAACCCTATTTTTAATGTCTGAAGATTACTAGCACATGGCATAAACTTTCGTGCACATGGCATAATCTATGAGTAGTTATTAAGAACTAAAACATGATCACCAACTGAAAACTGTCTTGATACACCATGGAAAGACAGGGGTACCATACATTTTACTTAGTTTACATTTTCCCCAAACTATCCCAACATTTTCTAAACTAATTCGGAAAAATAATTTAGAAAAGCCATGGTCAGAATTCTTTATTTGAAAAGTGGCTGAGATTTTGCATATGTAACAGATATCATTGCTAAATCAAATAGACAAATGTTTGGCATTCACTGGAGAATAAAGTGCTAAGGAAATATAAGAAATTTAAGTTTTGGAGATCTTTACCATCAAAAAGACTATAAGATGAAAAATTAAAGAAAGAATAAGTGCTTTGTCTAGACAATGTTAAAATGAGAAATCCTGAGGTTCTAATTTTTGAATTAGTTTATGAATGACACACAAACTTAGAGCAGTGCCCGGTATGTACTAAGTGTTCAGTACAAGGTGGTGCTGATTTACTTTTTATTTATTATTACCGTTACTATTAATGCGAATTTAATAATGACTCTTTAGAAACCACACCTTCCTATCTACTTTTACTCCATAGCTAATAAAGTTATTCTTTTTCCTGAAACCTTTATTGGGAGAAAATTTAGAGATTGGCGTGTGGGGTTGCATATGCAACACGAATTGGGGGCCAGGTCTGAGGAATTCCTTCCATTATTTGTTCAGTAGATATCTGCAGAGACTGAGACCCTACAGGTAGTTTGCAAGTGCTGAGTATGAAGATGTAGGTCATGTCTCTGGCTCTGAATAGTCTGATAGAGAAGACAGAGAACTAAAAGTGGTTAATGCAATAAGCGCTATCACATTAAAGTGTGCAACTCGCTATAGGAGCACAGCGGTGACAGTGACCAGACGGGGGAGGGAGGTGTCAGAGAGGCTTTTCAGAAGAAAAAAATCTGAAGAAAAAATCAGATACACAAAAATAAAGAGCATGTTCAGATAACAGGAATTCAGTGTGAAATAGAGTCTGGTGTAGCAAGTGACTAGGTCAATCAACTGTAGATGCAGATCAGAACAAGCTGTCGCACTGGTTCTTGGCGGTTTGGTAATGGATCCACCCTCTCTTCCAAGGGTGTTCCACTGAGGTTCCAGTCTGCTCATACCAGATGAATCCAGAGATGACAGGAGGTATCTTTCCCGCTATCCAACTTCTGAATGTACCCCAAGACTGCCAGGTGTCAGTTCTGGGCCCTCTTCTCTTCTCTACATTATCCTCCTGGGGGACTCAAACAAACCCTTTTCTATAAAATACCATCAGTGGGCTAGTGACACCCACAATAACATTTTTTGCCTTCATCCCTTTTGTGAGCTCCAGATTATTGTTATCCAGCTGGCTTCTCATTGGCTTTGTTTGCAGGTCTAAAAGGCATCTCAAAGCAACACTGGCCTACACAGAACTCTTCACTTGCCCCACTGAAATAAAGCCTTTCTTCCCTTGGTCTTGCCATCGCAGAAAATGGTAACAATGTTTGCCCAGCTGCTCAAGTTCAAACCTAAAAATCATCCATGATAATTCTGTTTGATATTGTGATATAATAAATATATATTTGGTCTGTGGTTCCTAACACAGATCTCCTAAAACCTTTGCAATTTCTTGAATGATAGGGGAGAGAGGAGCATCTTTTGGTATTCATACATAATAAGCCCCTTTCTTTTCTTTTCTTTTCTTTTTTCTTTTCTTTTTTTTGACATGGAGACTCGCTCTGTTACCCAAGTTGGAGTGCAGTGGAGCGATCTTGGCTCACTACAACCTCTGACTCCCAGGTTCAAGCGATTCAGCCTCCTGAGTTGCTGGGATTACCAGCAAGTGCCACTACACCCAGCTATTTTTTTGTATTTTTAGTAGAGATGGGGTGTTGCCATGTTGGCCAGGCTGGTCTTGAAATCCTGACCTCTAGTGATCTGCCCACCTCAGCCTTCAAAAGTGTTGGTATTACAGGTGTGAGCCACCCTGCCCAGCAAATAAGCCCCTTTCGATTACACCTGACTATGCTAATGAAGTGACTCTTGGAAATTAGGGGCTAGTTGTCAAAGGAACCAACCATGAGATGAGAGGATTGGAACTGCCAGCCCCATTCCCCAGCCTCTGGGGAAGGGAGGTGGGCTGGGGATTCAGCTAGTCACCAATGGAGAATGAATTAATCAATCATGCCTTTGTACTGTAACTTCCATAAAATCCCTCAATAAAGGGGTTCAAAGAGCTTCTGGGTTGGTGAACACATGCATGTGCCGGAGGGTAACACACCCAACTTCAGAGAAAGAAGCTCCTATGCTTGGGACTCTTCCAAACCTTGCCCTATGTGCTTCCTCATCTGGCTATTCATGTGTATAGTTTCTAATATCCTTTGTAATGAACCAGAAATAGTAAGCATAGTGTTTCCCTGAGTTCTGTGAGCCCTTACAACAAATTATCGAATCTAGAGAGGTGGTTGTGGAAAACTCCCGATTTGTAGACAAGTTGGACAGAAGTGTGAATAACCTGGGGCTGTACTAATTTCAATGGGCATCTGAAGTTGGGGAGAGTCTTGCGGGACTGAGCCCCTAACCTGTGGGTCTGTGATAATGTCATGCAGTTAGTGTCAGAATTGAATTAAGTTCTAGGACACCCAGTTGATATCTGAAGAGAACTGGAGAATTGTTTGGTGTGGAAAACCCACACATTTGGTGTCAGAAGTGTTGTGTGTAGAGAAACAGTTTTCCTTTGTCCTTCCTTTCCCTTTAACTCCCTTAAACAATCAGCAAAATTTGTTTTTATTTGCAAACTAAATCCTACTTCCATCCACATCATTCCATCTCCATTGCTACCACTCTTGTCCAAGCCGTGAATATTTCTCACCTGGTCCAGGGTGACAGCCTTCATCATGCTTCCTACTCCCACCTGGCTCCTCTACAACCCCTTTGTAAATAAGACCAAGTCAGTACCGTCTCAGGACCCACGAATGGCTTCAATACCATTTAGAATTAAATCCAACATTCTCACTTTGGCAAATAAAGCCGTATCTATCCCTCTAGTCCCATCTCACACTGAATCCTAGAGGCTATGTGACCTTTGTAAATTATCCAACCTCTCTATGCCTCAGTTTGCTTACATATAAAATGGAAATACAGAAAGTACGTGCCCACAAGGTTGCTGTCAGGATTAAAAGTGTTAATACGTGTAAAGCGCTTACCACTATAATTGGCATGTGGCAAAATCTCAGGTTACCTATTATTATTATTATTATTATTATTATTATTATTATTTAGAGACAGGGTTTCACCATGTTGGCCAGGCTAGTCTCCAACTCCTGACCTCAGGTGATCCGCCCATCTCAGCCTCCCAAAGTGTTGGGATTACAGGCGTGAGCCACCATGCCCGTCCTCAGGTTACTTATTATTATTATTTCCTCTGCCTTTTCCAACTGTTTGAAAGGCTGGATCCCTTTCACCTTTTAGCTCTCAGCTAGAAATTCTCCTCTGCAGAAACCCTTTCCTGGCCACCCCAACTAACATCTCCCTAATCACTATTATTTCATTTTATTTCCCTTATAGTTCCTATTAATATATAAAATAACCCGGGATCCCCCAAATAGGATGTGATTACATGTGTTTCAGAATCTTGTTAGATCTGTTCTTCGATGTATATCCAGTATCTAACACAGTGTCCAGCATACAGTAGGTACTCTATATATTTTTATTGAATAAATGAATGGATGGATGGATGGATGGATGGATGAATGCATGTCTAAAATGGTGGAAGGTGAGGTTAATTAGGAAGCTTTTAATTTGTGTAACAGCAATGGGAGGTATGTAGAGAAGTCAAATTTGAAAGACGTTTCTGAGGGAGAATGTAAAAATCTTTAAGTAAAAAAGAGTTAGTAAAAACCTGATATATACTAGAGAAGTGGTTCTCAAATCTTAAGCATGCATCAGCATCACGTGGAAGGCTTGTGAAAACACAGATTGCAGGGATCCAAAAGTTTCTGATTCAATAGGTTGGATGTGGGGCCCAAGAGTTTGCATTTCTGGAAAATTTCCAGGTGATACTGATGCTCTTGGTCCAGGTACCACACTCTAAGAACCACAGTGCTGGACTGGGCGTGGTAGCTCATGCCTGTATTCCCAGCACTTTGGGAGGCCGAGGTGGGTGGGTCACCTGAAGTCAGGAGTTCAAGACCAGCCTGACCAACACAGAGAAACCCCGTCTCTACTAAAAATACAAAATCAGCTGGGTGTGGTGGTGCACGTCTCAAAAAAAAAAAAAAAAAAAAAAAAGAACCACAGTGCTGAATTAAAAGAGGTAGAAGACATCCTTGGATTTTATTATTAGATAGTCTAGGCTTAAAGCAGTTATTATTGCCAATTTTTAAATTATCTTTTCTATTTTATAAAATGTAGGTAAATACACTTAGTGGGTAAAAATTATGATTTGAATCAGAAATCCTGACTGGATATATTGACACTGAAAGCCACTAAATATAAAATGGGGGGGGGGAGCTTTATTTCTTCTTCTGAACAATAAAACTAAATAATGTGATGATCAATTATGATTGAATTTTTAACTGGCCAGGATTTCATAAATGGTTCAAAATTATATCATTTTTACACCTACAAAAGTCTGGAGCTTACATGCAGCCACATATATTGGACCCTATTCTCCTTCTCCCCTGTATGCAGCCATAGCATAGGGTATGAGTTGGCAAATTATGGCCAACAGACCAAATCCAGCTCACTGCTTGACTTTGTAAATGAAGTTTTATTGGAAATGTGAAAGAAAAATAAAATCTCAGGACCACAAATTCACTATGCCAAAGGGAAATATTAAGCTGGAACTGCCTTTCCTTTTGTTCCTAAGCAAATAGCTACAGATAGAAGGCCAGAGGTCTCCACAGGTAGCTACTCTATGTTTACTTATATAAATTGACCATTTTCTGTGGGCTAGATGAATATACAGTTGACTATTCCTCTATCACCTCTTTCACATGTAAAATGTGGATTCAGTGAACACTGATCAAAGACCCAAAAGAATGCAAGCATTTGCCCCTTTTATCTACCCTCCTTCCTTTTTTCTCCCCTTCCTCTTTCCCCCACTGCCTGTTCTTCCTCCTTTGAACATGGAAGTCCCCAAACTCTCTTTGGAAAAAGCAGGACTCACAAATGTCCCTGTGGTTTTGTATTCCTTTTTCCCGGGCACATCCTTAACCTTGGCAAAATAAACCTCTAAATTGATTGAGACCTGTCTCAGACACTTTTTGGTTTACTCACTCGTTTACACGTCTATGGCTGTTTTCACACTACAATAGCAGAGTGGTGAAAGAGACCTTATGTTCCATAAAGGCTATGTATTTACTCTCTGCCTTATATAGAAAAAGTTTGCCCCTGCCTAGGGGACATCAAGGGGACAAGCTACTGGTTTGCTCCTCATTGTACTTCCTATTGCTTAGAAGTCCAGATTTTATTCCAGCATTTGAATTTTACAATACTATAAATTCTATGTAGTCTTCGCTGTACATATCATTTATATAACCAAGTCAAGTATACAATGCCTAGCATAGTATCTGGATAACCCTGTAAAATATGCTTATTTTACAATATGCTTTCCCTAAGAGGTAGTCTATATTTTACAAGGAAAATTTCTTTCCCTGAGAGGTAGTCTATATTTTATAAGGAAAATGTCTTTGTTTAGAATACATTATAATCATCTTCGAATTATATTCACATACCCAGAGGGCACATGAGAGCAAATGTTAAGGAAATCAATTCCCTGATACTCAACTTCCATATTCACTCTTTTCTAAAACTGATCTGTTGAATAAAAGACTGTGGCCCAATTCTCTTTTCCCATCTCCCCAATACAATCACCTTTTCCTGACTTTACGATGGAATATCTTGCCTCTCAGCTATCCCGATTTTTACTCTAGTGCTTTTTCCTTGAGGTATAAACATCTCTTGGCTGCCAAACAAAAGGGCAATTAGATAACACATGGAACCTAAGGGAAAAGCCCTTGAGAGCAAAGTAAAACAGGCACAGGAAAGAAATACCAAAAGCAGACATGTCTTCTTTCACCTATTTGTCCACTAGTCCTTGCTTACAAACCATGTTTGTCCACCTGATGATCTACGAATCAGAATTCAAAAGTGAGATGAGTGTCACAGCAACACATATTAACATGTTTATTTGAATTGAAAGAATGAAATCAGACCTTTTCTGTTAGAAGATAAATTGGATTGGATGATTAGTTTGGTAATAAGAACTGGCTTTGAGAATTAGGTTATATGGCACCCATTTTTCATAACTGAGTGAACTATAATAAACCTGTAACTTTTGATATGTATTTTAAATAGACTAAGAACATGTAGAAAATATACCAGGAATGATATCCTTTGCAATTACTTAAACATAAGATAGCAACTATTAGACATCAATTTAAAAATCTATGAGGGGATACAAAATTCTTCTAGAATACAGGTATCCAATCTTTTGGCTTCCCTGCGCCACATTGGAGGAGAAAGAATTGCATTGGGCTACATATAAAATACTAACACTAACAATAGCTGATGAGCTTAAAAAAAAAAAAAAGGTCCATGCAAAATCTCATAATGTTTTAAGAAACTTTACAAGTTTGTGTTGGGTCAAACACAAACCTCAAAGCCATCCTGGGCCACATGTGGCCTGCGGACCTCAGGTTGGACAAGCTTCTTCTAGAATGTACTCTAGAAAAAGAAAGCAAGAAAACCACTGCCTAGCAGTATATATGAGAAGATGAAGTCCTATGTTAGAACCCCTGAATGTCCATGGTGAGACAAAGGGAGAGTGAGCAGCTTTGCACAGGAAGTGAAAGGCAACTGGGGCTGCCAGTGTGCAAGGTAAGGAAGACAAAGCTGGGGATTTCCAAGAAGAGAGAGGGCCCAGCTTCAATGATAGGTCACTGATAACCTAGTAGAGTGTCAAGGAAAATTCTTTGGCAGACAGGACTTTTGTTTCTGACTGCAATGTAATTTTTACTTTCCTTGTCCCATATTTTTAATATTTTAATAAAATCAGCTAACATTAACTTAACACTTTGGGAAATAAAGAGCTGGAGGATGTCCAGTGAGGCAATGCAATGCAGAAAACGTGGCAGACACGCAGAAGGGAAAGAGTTTAGAAATTGCAAAATCAGCAAATGCAGGAACTAGGAATCAAGAGAAGGCTAGAAAAAACACAAGCCTCTACCTCTTGCCTCCTCTCCCATTTCTCCCTCCAAAGATAATTAGAAACCTGAGATGGGGTCCAAACAATTTACCTTTATTTTAAAAACCAAGGTGGTTCCAGCAAGCTAGGGCCCTTCACAAATGGACATTATAAATAAATTAGCAGTAGCTTACAATTTAAATTCTAGATCTTACTTTTCAAAAAATTTGTTTTCTCTCAAAATCTATTTACAGCATCTACACTGGACAAATCAATCAAACAATTCCTCTACTTTTTTTCTATTTTATTTTACTGCAGCTATAGGATGCCGAAAAGAAGTATCTTTCTACTTGACCAAGGATAGGTGGCAACTACGGTCAGTTTGTGTTTGAAATCAGATCTGTGAAAATCCAAGAGACTCCACAGTGACCTACATATTGCATAATTCTGGTCTTGGAAAAGTTTGGACTCTAGTAATGGTGAAGTTCTTGACCTCCTTCAGAAAAACATTTTTGGATAAAGTACTCTTAGTAAGTTAAAAAGGGTAAAACGTTCTATATTAATAATATAGAAACAGAAGCTTGTTTTGAATTGAAAACATTTAAAATTATGACCTATAAATGTATTAGAGATGTAGCCTACATTTGGAAAATAAATATTTTGATAAAATATTTTTAGTTTCTCAAATGTCAGTGTCATGTGAGAAAAATAATGTAGCATTCTTGGACCATACAAAGAAAAAGAAAAGGAAATACACTAAGTTTTCGAATGATTCTTTAGTGTAAAAGACCTTTTTTACTATGACTCTTAGAAATAGCTCCGTACCCATACTGTGCATACTTCAATGCACATCTGTGATTTGTTCTTCCAGCATTGTGACTCTAAAATTAGAAGGCTTCACTTGGAAGAATGCCAAGGTAATCATGAAAAGGGCTACAGTCTAATGGAGACAGGGACCAGTACAGATGACAGACCAATAAAGAAACTGAGTGATTTGGGCTAAAATTCAGAAACCATCTGTTTAACTCTTGGCATAAACATGATGAAGGCAAACCTTAGGATGTTGAAAATCAAGTAAAAGAAATGATGATTCTTGCGTTCAGAAATAGCAAAAAAAGTTTATAAAACATTATACATAGTTTTAGGATTGCATACTCATAATGATGTGTATTATAACACATTACATATGTTATATTTGTTAATAATTATAACAAATTGAAATTCTATTACTTTAGCCATTGATTCACTCAATGTAAATTTGCTCCATATCTGTTATGTGCTAGCCTAAGCATAGGTGCTATAAGAGATAGGGAGGAAATAAAACTAATTTATTGCCCATCTAATGTCACAAATATTTTGGATCACTTCATTTATTCCTCATAGATATCTGCCAGCTAACTGAGCCTCAGAGAGGTTAAAATGTTCAAGGAGACAAGCTTGAAAGTATCAGAGCAGCCTTCAAACCTATGTCTGTCTATACTGAAAGCCTTCAACCTTGCTACTACGCCACATTGCTTCCTCAAAGACAAGAAGGGAATGAGAAACACACGGCCACTGCCTTAAAGGATCCTGGAAACAAGAACACACACAAAAAATACCTGGATATAAATATCTCTAAGTTTCATATAAGAGAATTCAAGTGTCTCTTCTCACTTAGGGCTGAAATTTCAACTAAGCCTGGAAGGATGGGTTGGAGTCAGAAAGAATGCTAACTTAAATTCCAAAATTAATCACAAAAATTTCTTGGGCTTAAAAAAAAAAAAAGAACATGAGTCAAATAGAATCACTAAAGGATGTCCTTCTTTGAGAGATGGCTTCTCTAGCTCCTTAATATTTCAAGCCCCTTCCCCCTACACACACACACACACACACACACACATGCATACATGCAGACATAGTAAGTAAATAAATAAATATACATATAATTGTTTCTACAGCTTTGAAGTAATATTCATTAAAAATTTAACTAATAACTTTGGGGAAATAATCCATGTTTTGCCAGAAAAGAAGGGGAATGGTAGGCATTTACTAACTCATTCAGACCTTTGGAAACATAATTTCAAGGAGACTGAACCAGAAGGTGGGGTTGCAAAGTGGAGTTGAATACTGAGGAAACCCCTGTGCTTCTCCAAGAATGAAAATCAGAATGAAAAGATGAAAAAAATGCAAATAATAAAATCCTTCCAAGATTTAAAGAGTGCAACCCCAACACAGTTCACCACCTCTTTCATTACTTTTGAAAGCATGAATTCTCAGTGCTGTTTGCTCCTCTGTGTCATGACTAAGTTTTCCTTCTCAGAGGCTGCCTTTCCATATTCCTAGAACAGCTTGTTTAAAATATATAAAGTTGAAGTGTGTGCAAAAGATCATAGTGCACATGAAGGAGAATGAACTTGGAATAAATATACATGAGATAATAGATGAAAAACAAACAAACTGATTCAATAACCTTCAGCAATGACTTCTATCAACATTTGGTCAATACATCTACTCTTCAAATTTTACAATAGTAATATCTTCAAAAAGTAAAAACCAAATTATAAAAAATTAGTGTTTATACTGTCACTTCAGAAAATTATTCAATAGTTTTGGAAAATATATAGCATTTGTATGACTTCTATGCAAAAATAATGAAGCAATGACAACAATTCCTGTGAGAAAATAAGGGCAGAAAACTGTAACTGTTCAGATTTCTGGCTTATTTTCTCAACCAGAGACCTCCAGATAAGATTCTACAAAGTCAGTTTTTAGAGAACAGAGACAAAGCTAAAGATAAAGAATAAATAAAACTTTACAATAGTCAGTATTCTAGAGTGGGAAAAAAGAGACCCTTACATCCTTCCCTTCATTTCAGGAATTTTTAAAACTTCAATAAAAGTAATGTTCAGCAATTCCATTTTTTAAAATTATATATCTATTTTTTAATAAAATATATACTCACTCTTACGGAGGTGATAATATCTGAAGTAGATAATACCATTCACAATAGGTTTTATTTTATTTATTTATTTTTTTTTTTGAGACGGAGTCTCACTCTTGTTGCCCAGGCTAGAGTGCAGTGGCACAATCTCGGCTGATTGCAACCTCCGCCTCCTGGATTCAAGTAATTCTACTGCCTCAGCCTCCCGAGTAGCTGGGACTACAGGCACTTGCCACAAACCCGGCTAATTTATGTATTTTTAGTAGAGACGGGGTTTCACTATATTGGCCAGGCTGGTCTCGAACTCCTGACCTCAGGTGATCCACCCACCTCGGCCTCCCAAAGTGCTGGGATTATAGGCGTGAGCCATCGTGCCTGGCCTACAACAGGCTTTATAACAGTTATTTATAGATAGCGAGAATGGGCTGGTTACAGATTTGTGGGAATTTTTTTGTGAGACGAGTATTTGTTGACTTGTCTCTAAATGGAGAAAACAATAAACACTTTTGTACAATTATTCTTTTAATTTTGAAAGGAAATAGTGTGAAACTGATCTTTGATTACCGAATAGAAAAATCAATTTTAGGGCCAGGCACCGTGGGCTCACGCCTGTAATCCCAGCACTTCGGGAGGCCGAGGTGGGCGGATTACGAGGTCAGAAGATCGAGACCATCCTGGCTAACACTGTGAAACCCCATCTGTGCTAAATATACAAAAAAAATTAGCCGGGCGTGGTGGCGGGTGCCTGTAGTTCCAGCTACTCGGGAGGCTGAGGCAAGAGAATGGCGTGAACCCGGGAGGCGGAGCTTGCAGTGAGCTGAGTCCGCGCCACTGAGTCCGCGCCACTGCACTCCAGCCTGGGCGACAGCGAGACTCCGTCTCAAAAAAAAAAAAAAAGAAAAAAAAGAAATTTATTGGGTACCTAAAATCAGTAGACAGTAAATGTGATTTTCCTAACATCAAAAAAATTGATTTATCTTTTTTGAAAAGAGTAGAATGGGTCCCTGGAGATTAGTTATGTCTTGTTGCCTCAGTCAGAGAGCTCACAGAAACCTCTTGAAAATGAAGAAAGGAAAAACAGAAGGAGGTCCACACAGGGAAGCTCCAGAGCTGAGGACACATATGTAAAATATAAGCTATTCCAGCCTTCTTTAACACACAAGGCTTGTGCTATCATTCCAAGCAACTTGTAAGCTTACTGTGCTGAGAGACCCTTCAAAAATTCAATATAAAAATCAATACTCTATATTACCTCCCAAATATTGCTTTAACAAAGAAAAATGATTTACTATTTGGGTTTGTTGTTTCTTAAAAAACTTTTATCTCTTTTGTAATTGCACACGTTTATTATTATACATGTTGTGTAAGATAAAATATCTATGGGAAAGATAATAAGTCAAATTATAGAAAATTCAAGGAAGAGGGGATGACAGCAGATGAAAGATCATGATGGTAGCTGTGAAGTTAAATGTCTTTTCACTCACCGCTATCCCCGCAAATTCTTTATAGGTTCTCTCCATTGAGTGCAGGTTTCTAGAATATTAATTCTTTCCAAATGTAGATCGTTTGGGAAATTTTGTCTTGACAATGTGAAACAATTTTTTAAAAAAACTATTTACCCACAGTTTTAGTTTTGAAAGAGAAGATTATAAAGTTGATTTTTATTGGTAAAAGATACACAAGGGTTATGTGGATCAATTGTTTTTCCTGTGCCAATTGTGTACTCTTTTGTTATAGCAGTTTTATAATAAGCTTTAATAACTTATTAAAATCTGGCCTTAATTAGGGTGAATCTGGCCTTACTAATTTACATTTCACGTATACAAAGAGATGGGGTCTCACTTTGTTGCCCAGGCTGGAGTGCAGTGGCACTATCATAAATCACTGCAGCCTCGAACTCTTGGGTTCAAGTGATCCTCCCACCTCAGCATCCCAAGTAGCTGGGACTACAGATGCATGCCACCACATCCGACTAAATTTTATTTTTTAATTTTCATAGAGACAATCTCACTATGTTGCCCAGGCTGGTCTCAAACTCCTGGTCTCAAGCCATCCTCCCATCTCAGTCTCCCAAAGTGCCGGGATTACAGGTGTGAGCCACGGCACCTGGTCACATTTCTAATAATTTTTATTTATAATCACAGTTATTTTTCTATATAGTTTTAAATCATTTAGCTAACTACACTCCCCCAAAAATGGAATTCTCATTATATGTACAGTAATCTGAAAAGTGTATTTTCATATTAAATCTTCCCATCCAGGAAGGTGATATGCCTTTTTCTTTATTTAGATTGTTTTAAAACATACATATTTTAAAAATCTTGTAGTTTCCTCCATATAGGTCCTGCCCCAGTCTGATTTCTTTATGCAAGAGAAATACCAGTTAAATGAATAGGAAGGAGAGATGTAACATGAGAAGGAAGGCTTAAAAAGCAGCTTAAAGTATCTGTGGTGAATACAGACTGGGGAAAGCAAATAATAAGCCTAGAGATTGTCCATGGACTCTGGGAATATGAGCACTGGGGCCTCAGGGATTGTAGCAGTAGCCTGGCAAACCACACATGTTTCTACTCTCCTCCTCCAGCCACCAGCTTCTTCCAAGCATCTCAGTCATTTCTGGCCTTCAGCTCTAGTTCTGACTTTTACAAGGATGGATATGGCCTTTTGGCATGTGAAGGATTTAGGATAAGATTTTATTATCAAAGACATATTCCTATTGAAAAATTACAAGTAATAACCTTTTGGAAGTAGATCCTGCTCAGCTGTTTCAGTTTGACATTCATAACAATAGGCAAAGCCTGGAAAAGGCAGTGATAACAATGGAGTGCGAAAGATATGAAGGACTGACTGCAACGTTTCTGAGAACAGGTTATTACATCCAATGGAAGATAAGGAGAATTGACAGGCTGACCCTCCCAACTCTTTCTTCCATCAGTACGTGCACATATTAAATATCCCAAATCCCATTCTATCATGTCAAAAGAAGTTCAATGCCACTATACCAAGTCAACCATATAAGATTCTACTCTGAAAAATAATATTTGGTGTTATTTTAAGAAGTGCTTCTCTCATATTTTAAAAAAGAGATTATCAATTTCTCTAACTACTGGAGGACAAAAATGGAGCATGCCTCATAATCATGATTTTTTTTCAAGGAATAAAGGATATAGTCCAATACATGATAAATAAAAGGGAGAGAATATTGCCTAAAGAAGATAACAGTGGGTAGATAATAATATGTGAAATAAATTTTGATCTAGAAATACCCTTATGTATAAAGCCAGTGTACTGAGTCTGAGTCCAAATTTTTGGTTTATGTTCTCTGGAGAGATGTCAGCCTGACTTTAATAGTTTTTACCTTAGTATTTCCTAAAGAATAAAAAAAAGATTATCCAAATGTTTGAAAAATTCACCAACAGAATGCTCTGAAGAAAGAATTGTGTCTAAATGAAAAAATGTAGAGAACAAATAAAGCAGATCAACAGTGCTGCCCCAGAATAAGATAGTGAAAGATTTAAAATGAGAGGCACCAGAGTAGAACCTATCTCCAAGCTTATAAATATGAACAGGGATATCAAATAATCTACAGCTATCAGAGGCATCTCTTTCAGCCACTGAAGCTAAGCAATGAAAAAGGAGAGAGTGACTTCACACAAAATCTCTTGAGCTAGGGTATCACAAGACCCACTTTGGGTATTAAAGGTAGAAAACAGTGGAAGAAATAAAGCTTCCTGAGAAATCTCTCCTGGGCCAGGTATTAGACATGCAAGTCTCACCCTAGTCATTATGGCTAGGTTAGTAGATAGGAAAATCACAAGTTATGAGTTCCAAAATGACATCATCCTGATCTTCAAGGCCAAGGGAATAAGAAGATAGCCAAACTGTATATTTGGGGTAGAAAGAATAGTTTCAAATGAACTTTCTTGCATTTATAAATACTTTTTTAAGTAATCTATATGTGGTCTTCAAGGTTGATAAATGAGAAGTAGTTTGTAAGAAGCTCCTCCATAATCTACAATTTCCTGGGTCCATTCTTGGATTTTAAAAGCTAGGCTAGCAAAGGTAAATGAGGCTATGTGAGAAATTTCCTGCATGATAAGCTATAGCCTCCCGAATCTCTGTGTTAGGTTCATAATGTCAGGCTACTGGTGGGAATGGAGATAATTTTTTAAAATAAAATAACTTCCTTCTGTTCACAATTCCACTGGAGCGTCCTTGGCTCTGCTCCTTGATCTCTTTCTTCATTATTTTGGGCAATGCATCGCACAAGGGGCCAAGAATCTGTCACAGACACAACTTTGGCCATCAGCCATTGGGCCCTGGCAGGCTGCAGTTGGGTAGTGAGCATGAGCTTAAGTTCACTGAAGGGACTCAGGTCTACAATATGCCATGATGGAGTCCTCCAAGAAGGTTGTTATTGGTTGGCAAGATGGTGCTGAGACACACCCAAGTGAAGGGAAGCTGCATACAAGTTATAATATGGGTAAACAATGACAATATATAAGATTTCAAGAATAAATACAGATGCTTAAATGCAATAAAGTAAAACTAATCAACTAATTAAAATAAAGCAGACAATATGGAGTTTACCTAGAATATCACTTTTCACTTTACTAGTGTTTATACTTGTTTGTATTTATGAGAAGAGTCAGACGCTTTCCTCACCAGTGTATAACGTGTAGCTACCTAAGTCAATGTCACCAGGTAACAGACGCTGGCCATCCCACAGTGTTGGTATATCCCTAGTCAGGATTGCTGCTAAATCAAAACACAGTGGTACCAAAAACCACTGTTGATTGGCTCTGAGCAAGGTTTCTCTTTCATCCACAATCACACAATTAGTGAGTGACAAGATTGAAATTCATGAATCCAACTGCTAACTCTCTAATCCAATGAAAATTCTGTATGTGCCTTTTATGATGCATAAATCATGACTTTTATGTAAAATAGGAATCATTTCTATGCAGGTGCATTTCTATTAATTAATCTGGTTCCTTGCAAATTAACAGAAAATGTTTATTAATTTATTGTTTAAATAAAGGCAAAGTAAAACTGATCAGCAAAAAAATAAAATAAAATGGGTGCATGTGTATGCTATCCTATGTTAAAAAGCATAGGTGGAAAAGTCAAATGCAAAAGTGAAAAAAATTCCAGCACATTTTTATTTGTTTGTTTTTTTTTTTAGGAAAGAATGAGCCTCTATTGATGGGCAGATTCTCACAGTGGGAGCCCTGAATTAGAAATGAAAATTACTTTATAACACAGCCTACACAGGAGCTAAACATTAATGTCTTTGATTGCTTTAGGTCAGTTACCCATAAGTGTGAGTACTTACGCTGTCAATTAATCTTTTACAATCTGGTATTACTTTAGTAGTTATTTTGAAAAAAACAAAACACAAAGAAGCAAAAAAAAAAAAACCCACCACATCTAAATATGTACTCTAAATATTTAAATAAAATTATATTTTAATTAAAATAGAAAGGTAAACCATAATGGTAGGCTGATGAAATCCTCCTTAAACAAATTAAAATGTAAATATTTAAATAAATAAAATGGAATCTGTGATACTAAATAGCTTAATGTCAAAGTAAAAAGATAGATAACTTTATTCTTCAGCTCTGTGGATACAATAATATTCACCATATTGAGAATACATAAAACTCTACAGGAGGAAGAAATGTCTCAGTGGTGATGGAAGCCATTACATCTTCTCCTCTTTATACATCCTCTCTAAATAAGGTAAATAAACTAATGGCAAACACCACCATTACTTTTGCACCAGCCAAATAACTTGATTTACCATATTTAGAGAGGACATACAAAGAGGAGAGGTGTCATGGAAGTATATCCCTAGTCCTTCCGAGTTTCCATCACACAAGAACCGGCTGGATTCATGGCTTTCACAGTTCTCTTTTCACCTGACTTTCTGCTTCCTACAGACATTTCCAATGTAAAAAGTCCACTGTACATTGATCACAGCATAAAATCTGGATAGATGTGTCTTTTCTTCTTCATCTTACCCCTTATACCACCACAGGAGAGTATGCTCATTTTCTCCTTTGGCTCCATTCACTTTTCCTGATAGCTGACTTTGTCACTTCTACTTTTTTCTCCATATTGGACATTCTGATCATTACACTTTCTATATTTTATCAGCAAGATCTGTTAGAGGCAAGCAGCAGAAACTAAACCTAGCTGATTTAGTAAAATAATAATAATTTATTAAAAGTTTGTTAAGTAGTTTATGTAACTTTTAAGAGGGCTGGACAACCAGGCTTGAAGGATGCATAGCCAGGAATCTTGCTCCAAATCAGGCCACAGAACTGGTCTGGCAAGCATGACACTGCCACTGATGTCAAGTGCATTGTGGCCACTGGCATAGGATACTGAATGACGCTGTGTCCCCAGAAACTTCATCCTGCAATACCTGCAGTTGCTTCCAGGGAAAATTTTTTAGTCTCCATTTCTTTATTTCAGTAACTCTTGATTCAAAGTCTTGGGTTGGTAGATCTGAATGGCAAAGTCTTATTTTCATGGTAATATCCTAGTTTCAAGGAAGGCAAGGAAAACAAAAATCTAGCATTTTTCTGCCCACTATGGTAGGCAAGTTTCTGTTGAAACATAGGGTTCAGATTTTGCGTGGCCAAAAATGGATACGTATCAATATGTGTGTTTGTAAATAATATATATGAGTATAAAAAATATATTATATCATTATGAACATATATTTTTATAAATATAAATACATTTTATAACTATAACTATATACCTTTTTATAAACATAACATATATTTATATATGCACATGTCTGTGTGTATATATACAAATACACTCCTTGTCTATTCCCAGGCTAGTGACCCCTCGCTTAAAGACTCTATAAAAGCAGACTAAGTACAATGATATCTCCCCACCTTTCTCATGATACTTCAAACTTGTCTAATGACAGTTTTTTAAAACAGTGCAATAATTAACTAGAACACCTGTGTACTGGTGTCATATTTTCTGAATGGTAGTCATATTTTCTGAATCAAAACCAAATGCTCATCCTCTTTTTTTTATTTAAAAATCCACGCATTGAGAGTTGAATCAAATTTTGCTTTGAATAATGTGACAAAGAAAGAAAAGCTTTTTCCTGAATCTCTTCTTCCAACCTAATATTAACCATTTTTTAGAAATGTGCTCACATTCTCCTCTGGAATAAAAAAAAAAAAGGACAAACATCTTCCAACAGAAATGCCATCATGATGGTGATCTCAAAGAGTTTTGTGAGCCCACAGTGAGGCCACATCTGCTGTCTCTGACCCCAATCAGCTCTTCCTCTAGATATCTGCTTGTCTAACTCTTAACATCTTAAAGTCCTTGCTCAAATCTCACTTTGCCAATTAGGGCTTACACTGATTCTATTTAATACTATAATACCACCTTCCCCCATCCCTGACATTCCTGATTTTCTCTAGCCTTTCCCTCCCTCCCCCCTCCCTCCCCCTCCCTCCCTCCTTTCCTCCTCTTTCTTTTCTTTTCTTTTCTCTCTCTTTCCCTCCCTCCATCCCTCCCTCCCTTCTTTCCTTTCTTTCTTTCTCTTTCTTTTCTTTCTTTCTTTCTTTCTTTCTTTCTTTCTTTCTTTCTTTTTTCTTTCTTTCTTTCTTTCTTTCTTCTTTCCCTCCCTCCCTCCCTCCCTCCCTCCCTCCCTCCCTCCCTCCCTCCCTCCCTTCCTTCCTTCCTTTCTTCCTTCCTTCCTTCCTTCCTTCATCTTGCTCTGTTGCCCAGCCTGGAGTGCAATGGAGCAAACTTAGCTCACTGCAACTTTGAATTCCTGGACTCAGGTCAATCCTCCCACCTCAGCCTCCTGAGTAGCTAGAACCACAGGTGCATGGCACCATGCCCAGCTAACAATTTTTTTAAGAGATGGAGCCTCATTATATTACCCAGGATGGTCTTGAATGCATCAAGCAATCCCAAAGCTCTGGAATTATAGGCATGAGCCATCATGCCCACCCATTTATCACCTTTTAATATTTTTACTTTTAGAGTTTACTTATGTATTACATTTATTGTTAATTGTCTGTATCCTCTACAAGAATGTAAGCACCAAGAAAAAAGTAATATTTACTTTGTTCATATTTCCAAGTTCCTAAAGCAGTCCCTGTCATATAACGGGAGTGCAACAAATATTTGCTGAATTAATAAATGAATGGGTGTGGCTGGGGTAAAATAAACAAGGATGAAAGGGCAGAGATGAGGTCGTTGAGTTAGACAGGAATCAGATGACAAAGAGTCTCTGAGGCCATTTGAAGGCTTTAGATTTCATTCTGAGTGAGATGTGAGGTCACTGGATGTGTGCACTGAATACCACAATCTGACAGAGAGAGAGAAAAGAGCCAGTGGAGAAAGAGAAGTTGAACCCACCAAGAGATTGGCGATCGATCAATGGAACAAAATCTTAGAGGTAATTAGGGGGGTTGGGATCTACATGTCCAGGTGGCCTTGGTCAGAAGAAGGTATAGGTATGCAACAAGTAAAGATGATTGTCTACATAAACTACAGACCATCGCTCTGGTTAAAGTGCCCTGGTTAAGTGGCCCTTAATTTCTTTGGGTAATTCTATTGTCTTGGCAGACACATCATATTGTTTTGGAAAACAACTGGGTTATAAATATGGTAGTCATATTTTTTGAATCAAAAATGAGGTGAATGGCTTAGAAAATGTTTTTCTCTAATCTATAAGTTTACTTATATGTAAAGTTTTATAACTATATTAGAATTAAATCATATTCAGTGTTATAAATGTTAATACATAGCAGAAACAAAATGCAGAGTGTTTTTAGTGGGTATTCCAAAGTCTACCTTGGTTAGATTGTGATTCTGCATGCAAAAGTGGGTCAAACCTACCATCATGGCCACAGGTATCAGGCTCAGGGGTATGAATGTTACTCCAGGAACATTTTCTGAGTATACATATAGCATACCTCCAGAGCTATGCTTTAGGAAGATTAAAGTGGAAGCAACTTGGAACAGAATAAAGCTGGAAATTGGATTGAAGCATCATAATTCAGGGATTCTAAGTACAATTTTGAAACAAGGAGATTTGCTGATTTGTATTGTCAACTTTCATGCCAAACAAACTAGGCTCAACTCACACCCCTACCACTTGCTAGCTGTATGGTCTTAGGTAAGTTATCTAATTGGGATTTCACATTCCTCGTGCATAAAATAGGGCAAACAATAATGTTTAGGAAGGATGATCCAAGGATTAAATAAGCCAACAAGGAAAGCACTTAAAATAGGGCCTGCTACTTAATTAGCGCTGACTATTAACTATTACTGTTTCTACTACTCCTATCTTGTAGGGCAATATTAGACATAAATAGTCTCATGCTATATTTCTGCTGCATTTTGACACCACCAAAAGTACAGCCAATTCATATGAAAGTAATTCATTTCTGACTATAAACATTCAACAAAACTATCTTATTTCAAAAAACAACACTGACTAATATTTGGAAGTAGAAAAACTCAAAGTTACAACAGTTACTAATTTCATGATGTGGGAGGATTATAAAATTTCATATAACTGATATAGTTGTATCAGTTTTGGCCATAGCTAAGACTTACAAAGCAATTACGATTTGCCAGGTACTACGCTATCTATCTAATTTACATGTGTTATATCCTTCTAATAACTTCACGAGATGAGGATTATTATTAACCATCTTCCCAAAGAGGAAAAAGGCTTAAAGAACTTGATAACTTGAGTAAAGATACACCATTAATAAGTGTCTCCACCTGGATTTCAACTCAGGCAGTCTGACCCTAGTGTCCACACTACATTATGAGGTTATGACAGGCAATTGAAATAATGTGTAGTAACTTATCAATTAAAATTTAAAACAAAAAGACTAATTTCTAGGAATTATACCCCAAAATTTGATAACAAAGCAAAAATATTCTTTATCAGATCATCAATGATTTGGTAATATATGTTTCACCCAAAATTAAGGAACAAAATAAAACCATAGGCAAAAAAAATGCTTTACAGAGATCAAAAACCTAGAGAAAAGTTAACATTATTTACCATTCATACGGATTACTGGGCTTGAAATTACTCAGTGTCTCAAAGTACTGATAAGATATTGGCTGGGACTAGGTGTATTACGTATTTTTTTTTAATTTTCTGTATATAATGATTTGTGTGGGTGTGTAAATTTTTTTAAAATAATATTTCTTAAATGTATAACATCTTTAAAAGAAACAGAAAACCTTCCTGGCTGGGGAGAGATTGCTCCTCTCCCTCTCGGGGCAAGCTAGTTCTTCCAGTTGGCACAGAACTCAGCCTGGAGCATACCTTTGACATGCAAATCAACCAATCTAGAACTACACCCTTCTATCTGGCCCAGATAACCCAAGAAGCAATATTCCTCTGCCTTAATCATCTCAGGGCCAGATATCAGGCCACTAGAAACCACTCTACAGTTTAGAGCCCCTGGGGATTATTCAAACTAGCTAATGCTAAACTGTTGACTTGTCCCTTCTCTGCCTTTCCTGTGGAAATCCTAATAAAGGATCTAGCTCCTTTTGTGGCTCCCAACTGACTGACCATCATACAATAGGGTTCTGCTAACTCAAAATTCAGTGCAGAAAACTGTCAAAAAGTCTTTATATAAAACATTCGTTTCATATAAAATGTCAAATGGGATGGTTGATAGAGCTGCAAACAGAGGCTAGACCAAGATACTTATCTCTTAAAACTAGCCATATATTCTTACATTTGTTCATTAAACTCATTCAGTAAATAGTTGTTGAATAATTTTTAAGTTCTAGGCAGCTAGGTACTACAAAGACCAACTATGTTTAGTTTCTGTTGTTGGAGACGTTGCATTTTGGTGGGGTAAATACATAAATACACAAATAAAAAATATTTTTAAAAGTTAGTGATTCTCTAACTTGTCTTACTTTTAAGGAAATATAGAGTAAGACAAGTCAGAGAATCACCAAGGGCAGAGTTGGGGAAAGTGACTTTAGATGGGGTAAGACTAAAATATCTATCTGAAGAGGAGACATTCAAGCTGACTGAAAGATTAGTAAGAGAAAGAGTTCCAGGCACAGGAATCTTACTGAATTTACCAGTAGGTACATGTCTCCAAAGAAACAATGTAAATATTCCTTTTTCTCTCCTAATATCTTCTGGATACTTCCAAACCTGTCTTCAATTTTTATAAAAAGCACTTAGTTCATAAGTTTCTGCAAGAACATGGACTGTTACTTTACTCATCTTCATAGCTCTGGTACTTCACACAATGCCTTCACATGGTGAGCACTCAAAAAATAAGTTTGAGGGCCAAGTAAAATAATGGATGAATTAAGGGTTAATCCACATAAGCCTGGGAGGTTTTCCAAAGAAATTTTAAAACTTATATTTCAGGGTGATGTCAGTAAAAATAGCAGAGCAAGGATCTCCTAAAGTTCCCTCCTTAAAAGCAATAAGAAATTTGGTAAAAATTCTAAGTATCAAGTTTTTAGAATTCTACAGATTAACCAAAGTTTTGCAGCAATTCAAGAATGTCTATTCAAGAAAAAAACAGTTGAATCTTGATAAGAACATCAAGCTTAACATCATTTTAACCTGCCCTATTCTCAAACCCCTCTTTATATCTCCATAGAAGCCTTAAAAGCCAGAAGTCTGCATTCACAGTGAAAATCAACAACCCACAGTCACTAGATAGGGCACAACAAGGTTGGAACTTCTTCTAAACCTCAGTACTACAGTATTCTCATTATGCGACAAGTTTGGCAGTTTCCTAGAAGACCTTACTTGCAAGACTGTCTTTATTTGACATGACTTGGAGCTCACTCAGTATGAAAAGCCTTTCCTCCAGGGGTGTTGGTTTAAAATATTTAAAGACAACTGTTTAACTTT
Organism: Homo sapiens; assembly: GCF_000001405.40. Lineage (NCBI taxonomy): Eukaryota > Metazoa > Chordata > Mammalia > Primates > Hominidae > Homo > Homo sapiens. The sequence continues at coordinate 46,620,450 of NC_000006.12, forward strand.
GCAACTATCTGAGTCAGTAGGTAACTGTTGGACAAACAACAGGCAAACCAACAAGATGAAAATGAAAGGCTAGGGAATGAGTTGTTCATAGTGGCTTTGCAGAGGTCTAATGAATTCCCAGGAATTTAGAAGGGCATCCATTTGCCCAGGGCTTTACTCATGTTCAGGAAAGACATGAGAAGGCCACAAGCTGTCATGTACACCCATCCTTGAGGCTCTGGCACAGGTAGAAAGCGAAAGCTAAGGCAGAGTTGTCAACTGCTTGGCTGAGTGTTGAAGGCATGGCCAACATGCACACACAGTCCCTTAGCAAAGAATGGGGACTTCTAAATTACTGAGGTAAAGAAATATCTGTCTAGTTAATACCTGATCACTAAATAATGGAGCAGAGACTTCTGTGGCCACCCATGACAAAGAATGCAAACATTACAGAATTAGTTAAGGAAAATAACTAAACAATCAAACAAACAACAAGAACAATAAACAGCAACAACAACAAACCCTGAGGAAAGGGAAGAATCTAATTTCCAAAGTTGTTACATTCTATTATTTAAAATGTCCAGTTTTCAACAAAGAATTATAAGGCATATAATAAGAAACATGAAATAAGACATGAAATAAGAAAATACAGTGTTGAATGTGTATCACTTTCACACAATCATAAAGTTAAAAAATCAAGAGTTGAACCACTATAAGTAGAAGACTGTCTGAATAGATTATTCACAGAGGAAAAAAAGGAATCAACAGAAAGCGTCCCTGAAGAAACTGTTGCTGGACTTAATAAAGATTTTAAATCAGATATTTTCATTATGTTCAAAGAACTAAGGAAATCTTTTCTAAAGAACTAAATAGAGAAATTGTAAAGATTAGAACAAAATTAAATTAAATACAAAAATCACTAGGAAAAATAAAATCAAGTTAAAATAAACAAAATTAAAAAGTGAGTTCTTTGAAAACAAAATTGACAAATATGTAGCTACAATGACCCAGAAGGTAAAACAGGACCCAAACTAAAATCAGGAATGAAATATTTGGTTTTCCAGTGCCCTTACAGAAATAAAATGGATTGTGTGGAACACTATGAAAAATTTTATACCAACAAATTAGATAATCTAGATGAAATGGACATAGTCCTAAAAAGACATAAAGTATAAAACTGACTCAAGAAGAAATAGATAATCTAAATAGACCAGTAACAAGTAGAAAGACTGAATTAATCAAAAAACTTCTCAAAAAGAAAATCTTAGGACCAGATCACTTCATTGGTGAATTCTACCATATGTTTAAAGAAGAAATAATATCAATCTTTCATAACCTCTTTCAAAAATTAGAAGAGGAAGAAATACACTCTCTAAAGCCAGAATTATCTTGATACCAAAACCAGACAAAGTTATTTTAAGAAAAGAAAATTATAAGTCAATATTCCTTATTAACATAGATTCTTCAAAAAAAATACTTCAAAAAATACTAGCAAACTGAATCTAGCAACATATAAAGAAAATTATACATGAGGATTAAGCAGGATTTATTCCAGAAATGCATGGATGCTTCAAGACCTGAAAATCAATTAATGTAAAACATTATAATATAAAACTGTACACTAGACGAAAGGAGCCAGACACAAAGGACCACATATCATATGTTTCCATTTATATGGACTGTCCACAAAAGGCAAATGTGTCAGGACAATAAGTAAATTAATGGTCGTCAGAAGCTAGAAATAGAAGGAAACAGAAAGTGACTCCTAATGGGTATGGGATTTATTTTGAAGGTGATAAAAATGTTCTGGGACTAGACAGTGTTGATGGTTGCAATCTTATAAATATACTAAAAACTACTACATTTCACACTTTGAAAGGATAAATTTTATGGTATGTTAATTATCTATGATTATATATATATAATTTTATTTATAAGTTGATGCATGTTACATGCACACAAACTTATAGCTCAAGATGACAACCTGAGAACGCACTTCTACCTTCCTCTGCCCCAATGTCCCATTAAAAAAAATGAAGCCCAATATGCTGGCACACACTTGTGGTCCTAGCTACTCAGGAGGCTGTGGCAGGAGGATCACTTGAGCCCAGGAGCTCGAGGCTGTAGTGAGCTATGATCATTCCACTGTACTCCAGGTGACAAAGTGAGACCCTGTTGCTAAAAAGTAAATTAAAAAGTGTGCAATTAAAAAATAAAAACACAGCTGTAAAACAAGAAAAGGAAGAAGCAGATAATGAAGACTTAGGAAGATAATAAAGACTTAGATAATAAAGACTTAGATAGAAGGTGTACAGGATTAGTTAGAGGAAGTAGAATAATGAAAAGCACCACCCAAAATAATTGGGGCTAAGCAAGCATCTTCACAAAGGAGCCCCAAAAAGCTTTCATTTTAAAGTAAACAAATAGAGAACACAAGAGTAGGCTGAAAGGCAGCTATCAAGATAGTTCAAGAACTAACTGCCTTTAGAAAAGTGGTATGAGTCTGACCCTTTCCTTTCGCAAGTATTCAATAGTAGTTTTTACCCTGAGATTTGTTTTATAAGAAAGTTGGGCAAAGTGCCTAGAAGTGAGTGTTGAAGCCACAGAGATACAGCATTGGAAATTCATAAAAGACTTTCCCAAGAAGGAAATGGTGATCTTGCGGGAGACAAGAGCATAGAACAGAAAAACTGCTGTGCTGAGTCAGATTCCTGTTCCATGCCTGTGATGATAATTTGTACATGTAACTTGACTGGATCGGGGGTGCCCAGATATTTGACTAAACATTATTTCTGGGTGTGTCTGTGAGGGTATTACTAGTTGATATTAGCATTTCAATCAGTAGACTGAGTAGGGCAGACTGCCCTCCTATATGTGGGTGGGTAAATTTACTCAGGGTTCTCCAGAGAAACAAAACTCAACAGATTAGATGATGCCTAGATGATGGTTAATTCTATATGTTAACTTGACTGGCCATGGGGTATTCAGTTTAACCATTATTCTGGGTGTGTCTGTGAGGGTGTTTCTGGATGACAGATGAGTATTTGAATTCGTGGGCTCAGTAAAGTAGGCTTCCCTCCCTAATGTAAGTGTGCACCATCCAATCCACTGAGAGCCTGCATCAACAGCACATCATGGGACTCCTCAGCCTCCATAGTCAGGTCAGCCAATTTTTTATAATAAATGTCTTTTGAGTTTTCTCTCTCTCTTTATCTATGTATCTATTTACATCCTAATTGGTTCCATTTCTCTGGAGAATCCTGACTAATCGAATGTACTTAAATGTTCCTTCCTTGACAGAATCCTTTGTATGGACACATGGATATCTTCCTTGATATCAGCTTCCAAAGATCTGTGGACTCCTCTCACAACATTTAAATTCCTGAGCTGCTACTAGATCTTATGTATGGATTATTGAATAGCTTCTGTATAAGTATGGTTAAAAAAAAAGTTTGATGTCTTTCATAAATAGTTTTCAATTCTGCAGTAGTGTCTTATAGACTGAAAGCATCCATATAATGTAGCTGTTGCAGTGGTAGTACTATTCGAAGGAGCATTTTTTGTGTCAGAAGAGAACAATGGGTTTTAAAAATAAACAATAACATAGAAAAAGCAAAAAGGTTTTAATCTTTCTCCACTAGAACTGGGTTCAAGAGTTCTAGAATCAAGCCTTGTAGAAATTTAGATTAATGTTACACTTCTGTTGTGGCCTTTGGGTCAGAGAGGACCCCCCACGTTATCCCCATCATCCCCTCTCTACTCTTTTATTTCCTAAAGCCACAAATTTGGAGTACCCTAAGTCAGGAAAAGACTCTAGTAAGGAAATGATAAAGGAGAATATGTGACAATCAAGAGTGCATTGCCTTTTTCCATTTGTAGACATGTGGGCATGTGCCTTTCTATTTGTTTTGTAGATGCAAGCTGCACAAAGGCCAGTTGTCTTCTCTTATATTCACCAGTGTCTTTCCAGAATCTAACCTGTTAGCATTGTTGGCATTCAATGATAATGATGCTCACCATTTCTATAAGGTCCAGCATCTGCTGACGCATACTCAAGGCTCAGACAATATTACTTAGATATTCATGGTTGCCAAGCCAGTTTACTTTTTGGTTTAACTCCATAAGAAGCAATCCAAAAAAAAAAACTTTAAATAAAATATTTTCAGTAATCATGGAAGGGAGAGGGAAAACCATTAACTGGCATCATACCTTTTGCCCTAATATTATATTGTTTTCTTCCAAGAAAACCCTATCATTTCTTATTCTTTTTATATCAGGATACATAATACGACATATTAAGAAGTTTAAAAAAGTCAACTCCCCAGATTGGTCAAATTATGCTGAATAAACAAGTAGTTGAGTACTCTCTATTCAAGCTTGTATTTGCTTTTTAAAAGAGATGATAAATAAACAGCTGACATCTGAACTAAAGAGTTCAAGGCAACAATCCCTATTTGCAGCTCCTAAATCCTCAAATTTCTAACAACCATAAGGGTTTTTTTATTTCTTTTTGTTTACTTGTTTTTTGTTTGTTGTCTTTTAATAATCCTTTGGTAGCAAGCCTTACCTGACCTCTACAGTCCTATTAGGGCTCTTATGTAATATATGGAATATACCCTTATTACTTTTATAAAATCTGAAAAATCCTGAACTTGAAAACTGTGGACATTCATTCAATTGAGGTGAGGATCCAAGACATTAGAAGAACAAACAGGTGTATATATATTTAAGTAAGGAAATTAGGCAAATCACAATCTCTATAGCACTGATTTCATCATTTGGAAAATGAAGGAGTTGCACAAAAATATGCTTGACAGTAATTAAACTCTAGGATTCTACCTGATCAATTTATATCCTGATATATAACAAATTATGTTGAATTTTGGATTATGTTGAATTTTTATAAAATTATAGGTATTTAGCTTTGCCAATAATGTGTGACAAACATGCATTATTAGCTGTGTCTTCCTATATAATAAGGTTTAGTACCTGCTTTGCCAAACACAGAAGATATGCCTTCCATAATGGCCTTGTGGATATCAGGATGAGAAAGGACGTATGCAAGTGTCCAAAATGCAACCTTAAAAAGAAAAACATATATCAAAAATATGAACTTCTTTGAAGGTGAACAAAAGCATATTTAGTATTAGCCATACATATATTTTTTAAAAAGGATGATGTTTAAATTAACCTTAAGAGCACATTAGTAGAAAGCATATTTTGAAAACAACTAGATATTATTAATAAGAGATATGTAATATATCTCCAAGAAGCCAGATTTAAATTTTTATTTTGTCACTATAATTTAACTATATAATTTAAATAGATTAAACATCTATCTTCACTAAAAATGAGAAAAGTTGTTATTTTTACTAATGAGTAACACAAAATATTATATAGGCATATATTAAATTTTCAGAAGCAACTAGTTATGACACTTAAGAATATTAATCCAAAACAAAAACATTTCTTAAGATTTAATTTCCTTAGAATACAAGTGAATTAGCACATTTTATATTCTGCAACTGAAACACAGTAGTTTTAAATAAGCCCAGGAAAATGCAGCAGGAAACCATCCCGTAAACTAAATTATGAGAGTACTCAATGTCAAAAACAAAGTCCTTTTTTTTGGCTTTTTTTGGCTCTGAATTAGTAAATAAAAGAAAAAAAATTTTTGAGTCCTTTCACACTTGAATGCTATTGAATATAGTATATTTGCACATTTTCTCTCTTGGCCACTCAAACTTATTTCATATCTTTCCTCGTTGTGGTATTACAAGATAAAATCATACTGCTTTACATCTTAAAAATTAACTTCCTCCTCAGGTAAATAGTTTTGCTTCTATTCTTAGGTTACGTAATAAAGAAAACCTGTATAAAATCATCCAAAGAAGTGTGGGTTTCACTTTCATTTTTTTCTAAATACATTTATTATGAAAGAGATTTCATCTAGGAGAATTGGTCCTGAAATGATTCATGCAATATTTTGACTAAATTTAGTCTGTCTCTTTTGTGAGGTAACATTATGTACCTTTAAATAATACCAATACTCCCCTCTGTGGTCAAAAGAGGAAGAGCAATTGTCCGAAAAGAAGTGCTCAAATAAGCCAAATTCAATACTGTTCATTATTTTTCCCTTTCTAACTTTAAATTGATAGTGCAAGGATAAATATGGTACTGTTTACATAAACGATGTGAATAGGGGAACCAAGGGTCCTCAATTTAGAGGCTTTCTTTCAGGAGTGTTATCCAGATTAAGAAAGATTTATCCTAGAGATTTTCTAGTTCATTTTTACAGATGATGAAACAGATGCTCAGAGAACTATCTTGTCCTGTCTCTACTCAGGCCCCCTTTCTACTATTAACTACAGATAAAAGTGCTAAATTACTGAATTCAATTAATAACTACTCCATACTCACTTCATCTTACTTGAAGAGTCAGAGTTCATGTTGGGGAAAAAAATAGTGATAAGACATAATGTATTAGTCTGTTTTCACACTTCTTTATAAAGAATTCCCTGAGACTGGGTAATTTATAAACAAAAGAGGTTCAACTGACTCACAGTTCTGCATGGGTGGGGAGGCCTCAGGAAACTTACAATCATGGCAGAAGGCAAATGGGAAGCAAGGCACATCTTACACGGTGGCAGAAGAAGGGGGTGGGGAAAATGGCCAAACACTTTTAAAGCATCAGATATTATGAGAACTCACTCACTATCACAAGGACAGCCTGGGGAAAACTGTCCCCATTATCCAATCACCTCCCACCAGGTCCCTCCCTTTACATGTGGGGATTACAATTCAAGATGAGATGCGGGTGGGTACACAGAGCCAAGCCATATTACTTAGATTTTCAGTTACGCAAAACGGATGTTCATAGTTGTATGTGCCTAAATATAGCTTTAGAGATTCAATAAAATTGGATACTACTTTTTAAATGACAAACATAAGCAATTTAGCTAAACTACAAATGGCTGTTACTTTTATTTATTTATTTTTTTTTTTTTTGAGACAGAGTCTCGCTCTGTTGCCTAGGCTGGAGTGCAGTGGCGCAATCTCGGCTCACTGCAAGCTCCGCCTCCTGGGTTCACACCATTCTTCTGCCTCAGCCTTCCGAGTAGCTGGGACTACAAACACCTGCCACCACGCATGGCTAATTTTTTGTATTTTTAGTAGAGACAGGGTTTCACCGTGTTAGCTAGGATGATCTCGATCTCCTGACCTTGTGATCCGCCCGCCTCAGCCTCCCGAAGTGCTGGTATTACAGGCGTGAGCCACTTTTTTTTAATGTCTCCTTTTTCCTTAACAGATTACAGTTTTTAAAATTTTTTCTATTTTTAAAAAAGCCAAAGTATTTTTAAAAGATAAAAAGGCATATAAAATAGTTAATAAAAGTTTATATGTATTACTACATCAATAAGCAAGAATAAGTGACTTTGAGGTCTTTGTGCACCCACATTTGGGAAAGGGGTTGAAAACTGCTCCCAACAGTACCAATTAGTATTTTGTAAAACAGTTCAAGTCCAAGGTCAGAGATGGGCAAGAAGAAGAAGGGCCACTCAGCTCACTGAACTGCAGAAGCAGCCACCATAATGTCATTCCATTGTTTTGGAGAGGTAAGAACAAATGAGAGAAAGGGCAAGGAGGAAAACTCTGTATCTTTGCTGTGTCAAAGAGAAGATGAATTGAGTGTGTTCTTTGGTACTGATTTATCTATTCAAAAAGAGATTTTGATGGAGTCTTCATACCATGCCAGAGAGTCTTCTACCGATCATGGTAAACACAAATATGTTGGGAGATAATTCCTGTCCAAAGTATTTTCACATTTAGTTGGGCATATGAATACATATTGGAGAAAAATGAACGAAATGTACAAGACAGTGAGAGAGCAAACACATGTTACAAAAAATAAATACTGTGGGAGTTGAGAGTGGGATGGGGTAGCAATTGCTACTGAAAGTATTTAGAAAGAATGTAAGAGATGCAGCAGATAAAAAAGGTAAAATGTCAGCTTTGTGATTGGTTTGGAGAAATCTTCTAAAAAAATCATTTGGCAGTCAGAAATTTCTTGGAACTTAGAAATGGTTTTCCCATAAAAATAATTTCATAAATTATAGTTAATATCTTGGGCCACAATGGAGCCTCCTAGTGACCCAGTGCCTAACCCATCTGAAGCCTGAGCTCTGAGTCCTATGGGCCTTGAGGCAGAGTACAAAGTAGGAGAGAGGAGATATAGATATACTCTGGGCTCCAGGAAAAGACAGGCCCCACCACCTACACCTCTGGTAGGGCTTCTGGTATTCTCAGCAGCAATAAAGGTCACTAAAGCAGAATAGCAGTGGATATTCCCACTCTGGGGCCTTTGAGCCATCAAATATTTGGAAGCCTATGTTCAGTATTAACGGGCCATTGAAAATAATGATTGACTGAAACTAGGGAGATAATTTTTGTAAGGGAAGAAAACTAGCATTTATTGAAGACCTATGCTGAACCAGGTGCTATTAGCCACAATCTATTTCTTACCAAAATAATCCTTACAACAACCCTTTAAGGTAGGTATAGCATTAATCCCATTTTACAGATAAGGGCACTGAGGCTTGGGCAGGTTAAACAATTGGCCCACTGTTACCCAGTGCTGGCAATTGGCTTTGGATCTGACTCTAAAGCCTCTCCAGGATCTCTGCCTGCTCACCAGGCTGCCTCTTGGAGGTGCCAACAAGAGCCAGTGAGATGGAATATTCTCTAATCATCAGACACTTTCTTTCTGAAATGAATGATTTAAATCCTTTCAGACCAGCGCCAAGAACAAATTCCAAAGAACCGACTTCCCCTGTGTCAGATCAATGGGGCTTTGTGTGTCTTTCTTCCGGGGGATGTTTCTAACAAGATATTGAAAAATAATTCTTTGACAGGAGTGCCTGTTTTGTTGCTACTTTGAGAGTTGTTTTGATGTTTGTTTCTCAATTTTGCTATAGCTTAATCAGTTTCCAAGAATATTATTTAAGGAAAAACCAGAGAAGAATATTATAGGTACATAAAGAAGGGGAAGGGTTTAGACTACTTTTACTTGACCATATCAGATGAAATGTATATTCCACTGGCTAACATACCTTTGAGAAAAGAGGCCAGAATTTCTATCCCTTCTCTTTATGCAGTAAATTTTTCAACAAGTTAAGGGAAACTAGAATATCATGACTGAGAAAGCCTTTAACAACCTAGGCCTTTATAAAAGTAAGGCTAAATAAATAATACTTAAAACATCTTCCTAATTTCTATCTGTTAGAAGAAAAAGGAAGAAAAATGCCCACACATATCATCATGGATAGGTTAAATCCTCCTGTTTAGTAGAAAACAAGTATATTTAAAAAGTTACCCTTTAATTTCAGATAATATAAGTAGCATCTTAGGCTAATGTGAGAACCTCCTGGCCCAGGAAACTGTTGGCACTGAACATGACGTGACAGACAAATCTCATGGCTCTAATCTAATGCAAGACAGATTTTAAAAGAAACAGTTTTTTAGCCGGGCCCAGTAGCTCACGCATGTAATCCCAGCTGCTCAGGAGGCTGAGGCAGGGGAATCGCTTGAACCCGGGAAGCAGAGGTTGCAGTGAGCCGAGATCACGCCATTGCACTCCAGCCTGGGTGATAGAATGAGACACCATCTCAAAAAAACAAAACAAAACAAAACAACAACAACAACAAAAAAACCCACAAAAAACAGTTTTTTAAGTCTTGCCTCTCTTTAGAAGTGTTGAAAGTTCCAATTTCACCAGCACCATTCATGCGGAAGCTTGTAGGACCATAATGCTAAGCAATGCAAACAGGAATGGCACACAGAAGGAGAATGGGTACAAATGGAGAGAAAGAGCTAATATTCATTGATACCAGCTAGGCTTATCTTATTAAATCCTCATAACAACTTTGTAGAGAAATGAGAATTACCATTTATTGAGCACCCAAGTTCTAAGACCACAGTGGGAGGTTCACATACATTATCCCTTTTTTTACCCTTATTAGGTAAAATAGTACATTATCTCTTATTAGGAAATGGAGGCACAGAAAATTTAAATTACCACCATGACAGTCTACAACTACAAATTGGGATGTCTGGATCCAAGCCCAAGTTACCTGAAACTATCCATTTACTTACTCTTTCCAATAAAAGCATGTGGCCAATCCCTATTCATCTTTTCAATACCAATACTGAGCACATTGGTAGACATACAAAAAGTGTTCCATAAACAGATGTTGTCTACAACTGGCCCCAAAGGGCAAGCTTTTCCCTCATCCTGTTACACACTGCCTTTCAGAGGACAGAATTTGCTTGAGATCTGTTTCGTCTCCTTTGTAACCTAATCAGATTTCATTAGGCATTCAGTTTTGGTTTTTATCTCACAACCAAATCCACTGTAGTTTTTTTCTTTTCCATAATGAGTGATGAGTGGAAAAAAGAATGGAAGACAGAAATGAAGGAAAAAAAGATGAAAGGACAGTGGAGAGCAACGTAACTCATACTTTACTAATATACTTACAGGAACAGCATTAGACAGAGAAGCCCAAAGCAGTAAGAGCCCATAATTGGGTGAGTTTTCCTTACTTGTTTCCGTCTCTACAATATCCAGCGTAGCTTGCAATAATGTCTGTTTAAAAGAAATAAACATTGCCAAACCATGGCTATGTGACAAATATCGATGTTAATAAACAAGAGATCATGCCTTTTTCTTTAATATGAAAGATATCATTTCTGCCATTCCCAGGTTTTGCAGTTTGAGGCATGTGAAGGGATTTATGTCCTTACTGTAGTATAGTAATTAGGAGTAGGGATTCTGGAGCTTGACCGCCTCACTGCATTTGTTCAAATCCTGGCTCAGCTATTTAAGAGCTGGATGACCTTGAACAAGCTACTTTAATCTCTCTGTGCCTCTGTGTCCTCATCCATAAAATGTTCATAATATGGTACCTACCTCGTAGGATTGTTGTGAGAATTAAATGAGTTAGTACCTAAAAAGTGCTTAAAATAAAACCTTTCAGAGGGTAAAATGCACTTTGGATCTCTACTTTACCAAACTGAATTGGCAAATTGTGTGTTATTATCTCTGCCCTCCACACTGCTCTGGAATCCCTGTCTTATAAACCTCTGCTCTTAGCAAAATGCAAGCAATAGAGAAACACACATCTCTGGTGCATTCAGGAGAAAACTACACCCCCATCCACCATACAGATTCTCAGCCCATTCACCATGGGAGACAGAACTGCCAAGCCAGAATATTACAAATACCACAATACTCTAAAACCATACAGAGAACGGACATTTGACTTGAACAGTGACAGCTCAGGGCAGGGCCCCATCCAAGGCTACCCATCTCAAGACATGTTGTTCTCAAGTCACCAAACAAATCCCACTAAAGTATTTTCTTCATCGGGCGGTTTCCCCAGATTTGTCTTTGCCAGTGACGGCTCTCCATCATGGGAAAAAATTCAGACACTGTAACATTTTCATTAAGTTACTCATCTACTTTTAATCTTAAATAACTTATGTCTAGGTGATAGAAATAATGGGAGCTAATATCAACTCACTGCTTGCTAAGGGCAAGTACTGTTTTAAGTGTATTGCAAGTATTTAACCCATTTCACTCCTCACTATAACTCCAAGATGCAGATACTACTATCTTTTTTTTTTATTTTTAAGAAAAGATGTTTACTTGAGAATAGAGCATGGCAATGGGAAAATGCATGCAATAGTAAACTATGTGCGTATTCAGAGAGTTAAAGGAAGACAACAATTTTTAAAGGAAAAAATGAGAAGGATTACATAATTGTTGTGCAATCATTATTCTTGTCTACAAAGATCAATAACAATATTGGACAGGCCAGGTGCTAGATAGGTGTTCCTGTAGAAGTATTATTGTGTAGGCTGTGATGGTCTTTGTGCAGGTTTGTGGTTTTTGTAGAGTTTTCTTTTCTTTCTTTTCTAAATCACACATTCAAGCATGAGAACCCTCTCTTCATGACCTTCCCTGGCTCTATTTGTCAGGTTTTTTTTTTTTCTTAGGTTCAGGGGTACAGTTCAGGTTTGTTCTATAGGTAAAATCGTGTCACAGGAGCTTGTTATAGATTATTTCATCACCCAGGTACTAAGCCTAATACACAATAATTGTTTTTATCTGTTCCTCTCCCCCCTCCCAATCTCTACCCTCAAATAGGGTCCAGTGTCTGTGGTTCCCCGCAGATACTATTATCTTCACCATTATGCATATGAGGAAACTGAAACACAATAAAGTTAGGGAATTTTGCCAGGGACATATAGCTTGAAGGTGGTTGAGTTAGGATCCCAACCCTGTGAGTCTAGCCCTGACTCCAGAGCCCATACTCTAAGCCACTATGCTATACTGGCCCCCTTAGAGACACAAATCACAACTCTCTTGTATTAGGGATTTGGAGAACTGCATTGTACCACAGCATAGTAGCTTTGATTCAGATACTATGACACAGAAAAAAAAAACTATTCAATCACTAGCCTATAAAATACATTATAAAATAGAGACTGATGCTATTATTTACTAAAGCATGTAATTTGTCAAGGGATTAACTACTCTAATCCCTAGCTTTCTGGATTTAACATCCTCAGTTTTCCTTGTATTAAAGTTGTGAAAATAAATAAGAAATTACTTGTGAAATATGTAACACTATGCTTGCCACAAGGTAAGCACCCCAAAAATGTTAGCTAATGTGTTATTACTGTTTTTGTGATAATGGATTAGCAGAATTGAAAATAGTTTAGATATGAATTTCATTTACTGCTTGTCTCTATTATACTTATAATGTAAGTTGTCACAGGACAAAGTTTATACCTCATGAAAATCCTATAGATATATTTCATTATTTTGATATTCTATGATACAATAATAATTTTAAATGAAAAACACTAGTTTAAGATATATCTAAAATAACATGGAAGAAATCACATTTTACATTAATGATGCAATAAAGCGTGTATATATTTTTTAAAAATGAAACTCAACTTCTACCCAGTCTTCTGCTTCACTAGGCCACTGAAATCTATTTATGCAGTTGAAGACAACAAAATCTTTTAAATTTCTTCTTAGCTCACACTTTTTTTTAATATTAATATAAAAACATTAGCTCGGCCAGGCACGGTGGCTCACGCCTGTAATCCCAGCAGTTCGGGAGGCCGAGGCAGGTGGGTCACGAGGTCAGAAGTTTGATACCAGCCTGACCAATATGGTGAAACCTCATCTCTACTAAAAATATAAAAAATAGCCGGGTGTGGTGGCATGTGCCTGTAGTCCCAGCTACTCGGGAGGCTGAAGCAGGAGAATTGCTTGAACCTGGGAGGCAGAGGTTGCAGTGAGCCGAGATCACACCACTGCACTCCAGCCTGGGTGACAGAGCAAGACTCCATCTCAAAAAAGAAAAAAAAATGCCACTGCCACACAAAACACACAAACACACAAGCTCAGTGTGAACACTGCTAGAGGAAAACAGAGACGCAATACATAAAAAAATAAAGTTAAACTGCTCATGGATGTTCAAGTTGAATTCTCTCCTAAAGTTTTAAACACTGGATTAGCTTCAGCAGAATTCAAACTTTGTTTTTATTCAAATAATGATATGGTTTGGCTACGAAGCCACCAAAATCTCATCTTGAATTCCCACATGTTGTGGTAGGGATCCAGTGGGAGGTAACCGAATCATGGGAGCAGGTCTTTCTAGTGCTGTTCTCGTGATGGTGAATAAGTCCCATGAGATCTGATGGTTTTACAAAGGGAAGTTTCCCCACACAAGCTCTCTCTCCTTTTGCCTGCCACCATCCATGTAAGATGTTACTTGATCCTCCTTGCCTTCCACCATGATTGTGAGGCCTCCCCAGCCATGTGGAACCATTAAACCTCTTTCTTTTGTAAATTGCCCAGTCTCGGGTATGTCTTTTTCACCAACATGAAAACGGACTAATACAAATAGGGAGTTAAGAGTACCTATGATTAAAAATACCTCATTTCTTCAGAGTAAGAAAAATAAATGCTATTCTAGAGGTATTGTTGGTAGGGAATTTTACTTTTTTTTTCTTTTTGCTTTTTTTTTTTTTTTGAGATGGAGTTTCACTCTGTCACCCAGGTTGGAGTGCAGTGGCGCAATCTCGGCGCACCATAACCTCCGCCTCCCAGGTTCAAGCAATTCTCCTGCCTCAGCCTCCTGAGTAGCTGGGATTACAGGCGCGCACCACCATGCCAGGCTAATTTTTGTATTTTTAGTAGAGATGAGGTTTCACCATGTTCGCCAGGCTGATCTCGAACTTCTGACCTTAGGTGATCCACCCACCTTGGCCTCCCAAAGTGCTGGGATTACAGGCGTGAGCCACAGCACCCAGCCTTAGCAGGGAATTTTAACTGGGAATTTAAAAACTCTGTTTGCTAGGCCCATAGATTACAGATCTATCTCGATACATCTTTTATATACATGTGCTTTTGCCCCTAAGTCCTGGAAAATAATGCAAAGAACATGTGTGTTTGTCTGGGTTGTTTACACAACAAAAATATTAGCTGAAACACAGTTTGTCAATGAAGGGCCTTCCAGTATGGCTTCCTATTCCCTTTATTCAGGAAGGAGATACCTAAACATTCACATAGTCCTTTTTCCTAAGGCCATCTTCCTTTCTAGTTTTAAGCAAAGCTGTTTGTGATAATATTTGCTATTTAACTAAAAACAAACAAAAACTTTTGATGCCATCTTTAAATATAAAAATGTTTGAAGAGTTTTTTTAAATGATGATAACAATGATAAGCTCCTATCCAGTCCTCTGTTCTCAGTGCTTTACAAAAATTAAATCATTTAATTCCCACAACTTTATGCGGTGAGGAAACTGAGGCCAAGAGACTAGGTACTGTGCCCAAGGTTACATAACCAGTGACTGGATTTGAGCCTAGACAGTCCAGACCAAATGAAACCCAGTCTCTGTGGGCAGACCCTGGCCTCAGACAGTTTTCAAAAGCTCCCAGAGTGATTCTAATGAGAGGCAGAGGTGAGAACCATTCATTAGCAAGCATCTGAACCAAAGGTAAGGCTTGTTAAAGCAGATTGTCTACCTCAGAGGTGTTTGTTTGTTTGTTTGTTTGTTTTTGAGACAGGATTTCGCTCTGTCATCCAGGCTGGAGTGCAGGGGCACAATCAGGGTTTGCTGCAGCTTTCACTTCCCCAGGCTCAAGTGTGATCCTCCCACCTCAGCCTCCTGAGTAGCCGGTACCACAGGTGTGTGCAACCATGCCTGGCTAATTTTTTATATATATAATTATTTGTAGAGACCAGGTCTTGCTATGTTGCCCAGGTTGGTCTCGAACTCCTGGGCTTAAGCAATTCTCCTGCGTCGGCCCCCCAAAGTGCTGGGATTACAGGCGTGAGCCACCATGCCTGGCCTACTGCAGAGTTTCTGACTGAGTCCCAGGTGATGCTGGTGCTGTCGGTTTATGGGCCACATTTGAAGAACCACAGATCTGGAATAACGCTTAGGGCACAGGTTCCTAGTGCCTGGCTTTTTAAATTATACTATTCTGCTTCCTTGCATCTGAAGAAACAACTAACGGTAGTGGCATCAACAACAAAGCCTATTTTGTAGAGCTTTGTTTTTCCTAATTTGCCATTAGTTTCACCTGTCGCTATTGACACAGCCAACTGTATGATAACACAGAAATCAATACGGAACATCGGAATTGTATTTTTTTGCTCGTTGTCTCTGGTTTTTTCTTATGTGGAATAGGATACCTCTTCTACATAGGTTGTTGTGATGATGTAACAGTGAAATAATGTATCTCAACATGTCCAGTACAGTGGTTGACACAAAAATGGTATCTAATCAATCTCATGTGTTTTAGCAAAATATATTTTAACAACAATAATTTATTACTATCTTTACATTAGCAAAAGAAAGGTAAGAAATACTTACCATGGAATTATCTTTTGCAGATTTACATGCTTTTATATCTGGAATGTTTTTCTCAAACAGTTCCAGGAACCACTTTTTGGATTTTGACCAGTTTCTACATGAGAAAAAATATATATAGAAATTAATTGGAAAGCACTTTAGGAATAACAGGTCACAGCATAAAAAAGGGATGTCTGTGGAATTAAAATTAGTTCTCCAAATTTATTCTTCATTTTCAGGTATAATTTCATGGAAGGTCTACCTTCGGAATGATTAGTCCACAAAGACAGCTGGGGAGGCAGAGCAACTACATTTTAGTGTCTTTTGTAAATAAAACTTTGGAGTCCTACTGGATTGGCACTGAATAAGAAGGCAGAACCCACACTTGCTTGGTCTGCCTTTACTGTGGCTGCTGTAAGTTGCAGGAGGATGAAAACCCAATGCACAGAACCAATCGCTGACTTAAGCCGGGAAAAACAAACTGGCTCTCATCTTCTAAATCTTGTCTGAACAGTCACCATTGTAGATGAATGGTCTACGTAGGCTATGGTCTGAATGTCTGTGTCTCTCCCAAATCTTTATATGTTGAAATCCTAACCCCCAAGGTGATGTCATTAGGAGGTGGGGGTCTTTGGATGGTAGCTATGTTCTGAGGCTACAGCCCTCATGAAAAGGAGTACTAACCTTATGAACAGGGTCTGAGGGAGTCTGTCTGCCCCTTTTACCACATGAGAATGCAGTGAAAAATTGGGAGTCTGCAACCCGGAAGGAGCCCTCACCAGAACATGACCATGCTGGCCCGCTCATTTCAGACCCCCAGCCTCCAGGGCAATGAGAAATAGCCCTCACCAGAACGTGACCATGCTGGCACCCTCATCTCAGGCCTCCAGCCTCCAGGGCGATGAGAAATAAATTTCTGTTGTTTATAAGCCTCCCAGTCTATGATACTTTGTTATAGCAACCCATATGGAGAAAGACATAGAGCCACTGCCAAGAAATTTCAAAATCATGCAGTTACTTTGCATGTGCCTCATTTTACAAACATTTGTCTGAACCAACTGTGAGAAATGCATTTAACCACGCCCATGTTTGCCTCAGAGAGAATGAGGAGCACAGTGTCTGATTCTGAGACTGCTCAGGTTGACGATTTAGCAGGAATCTTAACTGTAGCAATGAGTGCAATAATAAAAAGCTGTACATGGGATAAAAGACCTCAAAATAAATTCTTAATCCCATCGATCTCTTTCTCTCTTTTGTTTTTGTTCATCACAATAAGAAAAGCATCTCTCTTCCTTGGTCCTCCTTCAATTCACATACAGACACCAAAAACAAACAGGTCATAAGAAACGGCTTCTCTCCCACTTAAACTGCTGTTACATCTACTTAGAACAGAAAAATGAGAGGTGTTGAATTGCTGAGATAAGCTTGGTCAATGAATTAATTATAGGAAACAACTGTTACCTTAGAAGACACTCTGGCAACTGGGACCCATACTCAAAATCTTCATCATAAACTTGAAAATACTGATGGAACTCCTTGATTTTTTTCTTGTTTGTGGAAAACAAACTTTTATTAAAGAGCATATTCACTGTGACTGGATAAAGGAGATGTCTACAAAGACAGAAACACACAAAAAGTCAGACCCGAAGACCAAAGAAGAAAGGCAAAGGATACAAAGCAAGGCATTATTTCATAGCAATATATGGGGAGCAGATAATAGGTGACAGATTCTCTTGGGAAAAAGTCACTCTTAAGAAGTTTTGATATTTGCTTACTGTGGTCAAGATAATACAGGGGGAACTGAAACTGTGGTTTGATTTATCTGAAGATATTTAAATGCTTTCTAAACAAGCTTATTAGACTCTGACAAATATGAGATAATAAATAAACTGATCTAATACAATTCAACAATAATTTATTTAGCAAATAATAGTAGCTAAGATATAGTCCATGCCTTTAGACAGCAACAACAACAATAACAACAACAACAACAACAAAGATTCAGGGCAATATTAGTCACCAAATTCCCTAATTTCTCACAGGATCCCATAAATTCAAACTATTGCCCATTGAAATATAGTACATATCATCAATAAGTTTTACCATTAAGAGAATAAAGTGATTACTGTAGCATACTTAAGATAAAGAATATAAAATATTGTTAACATGCCTTAAAACACTTAATACTGTTTATTTAATTTTTATTTACCATCCCTTCATAATTTCCTCCACCCAAAGTTTTAAAAATATCCAAGAATATTTTGTTCATTTCAATATCTTCATTTTGTTATAGATATTGGGTATGCTTCAGCACATTTTTAAATTTGGTTGTTTTTGTGTCCCCCCTCCACCCCCTACTACTGGACCTCTAACAAAATGTTCACTGTCATTCTGAGTCTGAACTGCTCAATCTTGCCTTGGGCATTCCAGGATTCCTGCTGAGATGGCAAAGTGACTCAGGTAACTTCAACTTACGAAATCTCTTTATGCATGTGGGAAATTTTCTCATGTCTCCCATGCCCAGACTTTAACTTTTCCAGAAAGCTTCAGAATGGGGCTGACTCCGTCTGCTGCTCTTCCCTGTCTCTTGGGATCTCCCTTAATAGAGGACCCTGGGGCTCAGTCCTGAGGCCCACACTGACTTTGCCTGAGCCACTTGTTAAGTAACACAAACATCTCCTGGACTTTTTTCACCACTTTATGATTCCATTCTCTCCCCTATCCTCTCAACGTCCTCTCATTCTAATAATAGCAAATTGCACTGAATGTTTTATCAAAATTCTACAGGAAGTATGAAAATTATAAGAAGAAAATCCGTGTAGTTTATACACAAATGTATGGAATGACTAAGGATAAATTACTGCAAATGTATTACAATGACTGTATTGGCTTGTTTGCTCACCATAAAATAGAAATGCTAAACTGAATTAGAATTTAAAAGATTGGTGACAGAGCGAGACTCTATCTCAAAAAAAAATAATTTAAAAGATTAAAATAATCTCTTAATAGCCTAGTTAGGTAGATTTCATTAATCAACCTGACAATGTTTGAAGTCCAATCTATAGGTTTCAATTTTTTTATTTAAAACAAAAAGCAAGACTAAATCATACTAATGCGTCTATTTACCTTACTAAGTTGTTCAGGTCCATTGTCCCATGAGTGCCTAAATTCTCCAGTTGTTCATGTAATTCTTCAGTCAGTTGCCCAGTAAACTGATGGAGATTGACAGTCCCCATTTTCCCTTTCAACATAATATAGAGTTTTTCATGCAGTGCTAAAAAGACATTCTTTGGAATTGATGCTATGAACAAAGAAAACTATTTTCAAAATAAGCAACAACTCCTTGAAACACACAGTCAATATATATCTACTATTATTTGGTCAGCAGGGACTACAGCCAAAGTCCTCTCAGTACATAAGGTCACCTCCCATAAATAAAAGTAGATAAAGATTCAACCTATTCTCGACTGAGTGTGGTGGCTCACAACTGTAATCCCAGAACTTTGGGAGAACAAGGCAGGTGGATCACTTGAGGTCAGAAGTTCCAGACCAGCCTGACCAACATGGTGAAACCCTGTCTCTACTAAAAATAGGAAAATTAGCCGGCTGTGGCGGGCACCTGTAATCCCAGCTACTGGGGAGGCTGAGGCAGAAGAATCGCTTGAACCCAGGAGTTGGAGTCGCAGTGAGCCAACATCACACCACTGCACTCCAGCCTGGGTGACAGAGAGAGACTTTATCTCAAAACAAACAAATAAAAAAGATTCAACGTATTCTGTGAGATGATGGAAATCTATTCACTTTAAGGGATAATCTATAAATGGGTGATTAAGAGAGCTGGTATTTTCAGCCCTTCTCCCTCAAAATCTACAGTCCAGATACATTAAAAACATATTTTACATATCCCAGCATTTCAGAGGCTGTTCTGTCTGCTCAGAATGTTCTCTCCTTTATTATACCCATATCTACTCCCACCCAATCCCACACACTTATACCTATGAGCCTCAAACTTCTCCTGCAAATTTCTATTTGTCCTTCAAGTGTCTTCTTGAACACTACTTCCACCAGGAGGCCTTTCCTAACCCCATGAATAGCTTTGAGCCCACTATTTTCTTTATGTTAGTATTCGTGCTCCTTCTATAACACACATTCCTAATTAGAAATTGTGGTTTATTGTTTACTCATTTCTTTATATTTTTATTTTATCTTGTTTTATTGACCTTGAAGTAACTTTTTCTGTTTTAAAAAAATTTTGAATTTTATTTTAGATTCAAAGGGTACATGTGCAGGTTTGTTATACAAGTATATTGTGTTATGCTGAGGTTTGGGGCATGATTAATCCCATCACTCAGGTAATGAGCACAGTACTCAATAGTTAGTTTTTCAACCTTTGCCCCCTGCCGCCCACCCCCCTCCCTCTAGTAGTCCCCTGTGTCCATTGTTGTCATTTTATTGAAGTAACTTTTTCAAAGAATAAGTTTTAATTTTGTATTTCGTCATCCTATTACGTGTAAGATACATTTTGTGTAAGTTAATGAAAAACAGTTTTTAGATTTCCTGAGCATACATCTTCTCTATGTTACCATACCAGTATAGTATGTATACTATGCTACTATACATATACTATGCTGGTATGTATAGTATGCTACTATACATCTTCTGTATGTATAGTAGCATACATCTACTATATGGGAGGGATGGGAAGCTGACTCAAGAATAAATATTAATATATTTCATCTGTTCAATGAAATATTTAAACATGAAAGTCCCCAGAGGAGGCTCAGGTGAAAAAAACTCAATCATTTCCATACACCTCTGATAGGTAACTTAGTAAATTTTTCTGAAGGGATACGCGACTCTACAGATCAAAGGCCTTCAAAATATTTATATTATTTGATCTAAAATTCCATAGTCCAAGTATCAAGAAGCACTAAATAATCAAATAATTTCACCAACAGGTTGTGATGATCATGCATACAAGAAGAAAAAATATATATAATTCTATTGATTACTGGTAGCTTTTAAAACAAACTTTCTTGTCTTAATGGCAAGAAATGCACAAAAGGTTACATGAAAAGGAACCAAAGAAGAAAAAAGGGAAACAGAGAGAAAGAAGCCACAGAGAATAGAAGCAAGCAAAAACATTGTGAAAGCACAAAAAAGAACCAGACACAAATTGAACCAGCTCTGCGTTCCAGGGAGGACACATGGCCCCAGTACACACAATTGCAGCCTAGGAAGAAATGAAGGCAGACAGCCATACTGGAAGCATGCTGACTGTACAATCTGGTAGTCTCTGAAGATGGAGGATTTGTGAAAGGGCAAGTCAAGCTCCCATTGACCATAACAGCCCTATAAAATTTGTCAGGAAATGCCACTGTAAAGGATTTACTAAGCCATGGAATTCTAGTTTCAGGGACTGAGTAACATGTAACCAGTCCAAGAGCTGTACCCTGTAGAACACTGTATACACAGCAGTGGAACAGAGTTAGTGACATCTTGGAAGCTGTAACATGATACAGATTCCAAATATTCTCTAAAGAAAACATCAATGAGGTAACCTTATCACTTTCACGTGTCTAATTCAAATCTAAATGTATTAGGCTGCCATTCATTTGCATTTCAATGGCCAAACTATTCTACCCATAACTCTTTCCTCTTCTACCCATACCTCAAGAATAAAATAATGGACCCTCATCATTCTTGATAGAGGAATGAGGATGTAATTTTTACCTAAAACTACTCCTGGATTCCAATGTTGGATTTCGAATGGACTATCTGAAAATATTCTTTACCTGTACGATAAACGATATTTTGCACTGCTAGTTCAAAATCTACTTTTTTGGATTTTAGAAACACATTAATTCCTTCTTCTTCAGTAACAAAGGTCATTCGGTTTCCCATAGCAAAGACTGTAAATATTGGTCCATACTGAAATAAAACAAACATAGATTATATTAGTAAGCATTCCTAAGCCATGTTTAAGACCATTCTCCTCAAGAATCCTAATGCTGAAGTTATAGTCAAAAGAAAAATTATTATGATTATATTTGGCAATTAGTTATAAATTTTGATTGTTTCAGCCAGATCTGAATTATATACATTTTAATTTGTTCTGTCCTAATATGTAATATTCCCTTTGATCATTTTATTGCCTATTTATAGCTTCTTTTCTTGTACTATGAAATAAGTAGAAAATAATAATTATAAATAATTAGAAATTATATCAACATTGTGACATTTAAACATTGTTTTCAAGATATTGGTAGACTTATAAGCAACCTATAGCTGAATATTGTTCAACAAAAAGGTTCAAAATTGCCAACTGGTTTATGGGAAATCCATGGTTATTCAACAATGTCTTGCAATCCTATACACTTTTCTAATCTGTTCACTTTCCTAGTTTTCAAAATGATTATTTCACCTGTACAACCTGCCCAACCTCTCCATTCTGACATAGTGTCCCTGCCTTGTAACTCACTAGAAAAATGGAGCAATCAAGTAGCGGTCTCAGTTTCTCGCTACTAAATCCTGCAAGGTATATACATTTGCACCCATTCTCCATGCGTTCCCTCCTCTTAACACGGATGGAGGTTCCTGCCCTTGTGAAATGTCAACACTTCTCCATTTGTGTTATGGATCCTACACTCTTGCCTTCTCTCTTCTACATTTATGACTCTCTCTCTCCTACATCATTAATTTTCCCCTCTTTATCAGATCACTCTTAGCAACCTTTGAACATACTGTAGCACAGGGTTTGATAGCAGGGGTCTATGACCTTGTTGGGAAAAAAAAGTCATCATTTTTATTGGCGTCTAAGTATAATTTAGCAGTTTCTTCAATTATGAATGTGGGCAACAAACCTCAGTCTTCTCCATGACTCTATCATCAAAAGAAATCACCATACTTTCATATTCCATTACAGCATTATACATATCTCAAGGCATAATTTATGCTCATCACTACTTCAGTATTAGTCATTTCTATACCTCCCAAGAGATGACACATGATTACTCCTGCAACACAGTGTTGGGTGCTACTAGGCAACTTGCAGGCCCAAAAATCATTAAGCCACCAGAAAATGAAGTCCCATTTTTGTGCATTAGTGATCCAGACATCTACACTGCTTTCTAACATTCCTATCTGTAATTGTTTGTTAACCAGTAGTTAGAAGATGACTCATTTTCATTGTTAAAGTTTTGTTCAAATGAGAATTCTTAACTTCCCATTAGTAGGTAGCTTTTTGTAACATCTATAAGCACCTGGCCACAAGTGTAGACTAACCACATTCAAATACATTGAATCAGCAGTTGAGATAATTGTTGATGTGAGGCATTTAAAGTAACTGCAATATAACTGCGGAGTAAAAGATGGTCATGCACAGTGTTAGAAATTATGCAACAGGGTTTTGTTGTTGTGTTTGTTTTACTTGCTTTCCTTTTGTTCTTTTTTTGTATGCAATGTCAGCAGCCTCGGTGTTACGAAGTACAGGCAGGCACACACGGTATGTTGTAGAAGTGGTGCTTGTATATTTTTTAACTAAACTTTTTATTTAGAGATAATTGTAGATTATCATGCGGTTGTAAGAAATGTTACAGAAAGAGCCTACGTATCCATTACTGTTTTCCCAGTATTAACATCTTGCAAAACTATAGTACAGTATCACAACCAAGTTATTGACATTGATACAGTCAAGATACAGAATGTTTCCATCACCACAAAGATCTTAAATGATGCCCTTTTATAGCCAGCCCCCACTGTTTCTCTCACTCCTACCTTCTCATTAATCCTTGGCAACCACTAATCTGTTCTCCACTTCTATAACTTTGAATTTCACTATGTCATATAAACAGAAGCATTTAGTATACAATTTTTGGGGACTGGCTTTTCATTCAGTGTAATTCTCTGAATGTTCATCCAAATTGTGTGTATCAATCATTCATTCCTTTATATTTCTGAGTAGTATTCCACTGTATGAATGTACGACAGTTTATTTAAACATTATGAAGGCTGGGCTAGACATGCCTATAATCCTACTGCTTTGGGGGTCTGAGGCAGGAGTATCACTTGAGCCCAGGAGTTTTTGAGGTTGCAGTGAGCTATGATTTGCACCACTGCACTCTGGGCAGGGCAACACAGCAAGACTGTCTCTAAAAATCAAAACAATAA
Organism: Homo sapiens; assembly: GCF_000001405.40. Taxonomy (NCBI): domain Eukaryota; kingdom Metazoa; phylum Chordata; class Mammalia; order Primates; family Hominidae; genus Homo; species Homo sapiens. The sequence goes on from NC_000006.12 coordinate 46,644,537, forward strand.
AAATGAATAAGGTTGAAAGACAGTGAGATTCTTTTCAGTTTAGGGCTATCGCAAATAGTGCTTCCATAAACATCCATATCTGGGTTTTTATGTAAACATTAAGTTTCTCTGTGATAAATTCCTAGAAGTGCAATTGCCAGGTCATATGGTTGGCTGCGTGTTTGGATGTTTAAGAAACTGAGAAAGTGTTTTCTGGAGTGGCTGTACCATTTTATATTTCCACCATATGTATAAGTAATCCAGTTTCTCTGTATCCTCACCAATATTTGGTGTTGTTGCAATTTTTATCTTTGCCGTTCTGATAGATGTGTAGTAGTATCTCATGATTTTAATTTGCATATCTCTAATGACTATTGATGTTGAACATCTTTTCGTGTACCAATTTGACATCTGAATATTCTCTTCATTGATACATCTTGTGTATGTCCTCTGCCCATTTTCTAACTGGATTTTGTATTATATTGTTGAGTGTTGACAGTTCTTTATATATTCTAGATACTAGTCCTTTGTTGGATATGTGGTTTGCAAATATTTTATCCCAGTGTGTAGCTTTTCTTTAAATCTTTTTAATGAGCTCTTTTACAGAGCAAATGCTTTTAATTTTGATGAGGTTCAATTTATCAGTTTTTCCTTTTATGAACTGTCCTTTTGGTGTCAAGTCTAAGAGCTATTTTCTATCCCAAATTAGGAAGATATTCTTCTATATTTCTTTCTACAGGTTTTATATCTTTATGTTTTACATTTAAGTCTGTTATCTATTTTGAGTTAATTTTATATCAGATATAGGACTTAGGTAGAAATTCATGTTTTGTGTGTGTTGGGGGTGGTTCTTTGTTGTTGTTTTGTTTGTTTTGGCTTACGCTATCAAATTGCTCCATCACCATTTGTTTAAAAAGGCCATCTTTATTTCATTGAGTTGTTTTTGCACCTTTGCCAAAAATCACTTGGCATGTTTGTGTGGCTCTATCTCTAGATACTCTATTTTGTTCCACTAATCTTTGTGTCTATCCTTCTGCCAGTACTAAATCATCTTGATTAATAATAGGCCTTGAAATTGAGTGGAATGATTCCTCTCATTCTATTCTACTTTTTCAAAATTGTTTTATGTATTTTAGTTTCTTTGTCTTTCCATATAAATTTTAGAATAACCTTGTCTATATCTACAACAAATCTTGCTGGGAATAGCATTTGCATCAAACCTGGATATCAGTTTGGAGGAAACTGACATCTTTAATATGTTGACTTTTCCAATCAGGAACACAGTATGTTTCTCCCTTAAGACCTTTGATTTTTTTCATCAATGTTTTGTGGATTTTAGCATACAAGTTCTAAACATTTTGTTACATTTATACCTAAATATTTCTTGAGTTATTTTAAATGGTAATGTATTTTTAATTATGGTTTCCACATGTTCATTGTTAGTATGTAACCAAACAATTGATATCTTTATGTATACCTTGCATTTATTCCAGAGGTTTTTGTAGACTCCTTGGGATTTTCTACATAGACAATCATGTAATCTGCAAATTAAGACAGTTTTATTTCTTATTTTCGAATCCATATATATTTTCTTTTCTTTTCTTACTTTATTGCACAGGCTAAAATTTCCAGCACTATGCTGAATAAGAGTTGTGACAACAGAGATCTTTGCTTTGTTCCCAATCACATGGGGGAAGTATTTAGTCTTTCATCATTTAAGTGTCCTGTTAACTGCAGGATTTTTGTAGATGTCCTTTATTGAGTTAGGAAATTTCCCTCTATCATGAATCCTGATATCATGAATGGATATCAGGAATGGATATTGAATTTTGTCAAATGCTTTTTCTGTATCAATTATGTGCTTTTTCTTCTTTAGCTTGTTAATACAGCAGCCTATGTGGATTGACAGACTTCACTCGGTAATTCTTTTCATATACTGATAAATTTTATTTGCTGATATTTTGTTATTTCTGCATCTATTAATATATTCATAAGTAATACTTGTCTGTAGTTTTTTTCCGTACTATCTGTGGTTTGAGATCAAGGTAATACCAGCTTCATAAAATAGACTGGGAAATGTTCCTTTGTCTTCTACTTTCTGGAAGAAATGGAACTCATAGTTAATTCTTTTTTAAACATTTGGTATAGTTTTCCAATGATACAATCTGGGCATAGAGAATTCTTTTTGGGAGGTTATCAAAATACAAATTCAATTTCCTTAATAGTGTAGGGCTATTAAAATTATGTATTGTATATTGGATAGTTTTGTTAGAATACGTTTTTCTAAGAATTGATCCATTTTATATAACTTGTTAAATTTATGTTTGTAGAGTTATTCATAGTATTTTCTTATCATCCCTTTTGATGTCTGCAGTGATATTCCCTGTTTCATTCAAACATCGGTCATTGGTGTTTTCTCTATCAGTCTTGCATGAAGTCTGGCAATGTTATTGGTCTTCTCAAAAAACCAGTTCTTTCTTTCATTGATTTTCCTTATTTTTTTTTTTAATTTTCAACTTCATTGATTTCTGTTCCTTACTATTTCCTTCCTTCTGCTTTATTTGGGCTTATTTTACTCTGTTTATAAAAGGAGATGATTCTTGAAAGTTTATCGATTTCAGGTTTTTCTTTTCTAATATAAGCACATAGTGATAGAAATTATGACATGTTGTATTTTTATTTTCATTTGGTTCAATCTATCTTTTATTTTTCAAGAGACTGGGTTAAAATACAAAGACTCAGAAAAATTGAAAGGGATAGAAAAATATGTATCATCCAAACACTAACCAAAACAAAGTTGGTGCAGCTTTAATAATATAAGAGAAAGTAGATTTTAACTCAACATAGATGACTACAGGTAAGACTTCAAATATCGCTTAGAGTGGCTTAAAGGAGGTGCCCTTCCCAAGAGCTGTTTAAGTAGACAAACTGCAGAAGTTGTCTAATTTACCTATTTTAATGTAGGGAACTTTGTCTTTTTGGGGGCTGCTTGACATTTAGATCCTATGCCCACATTTTCAGAATTTCACATTCTACACCTGTTGGTGGGAGGTAGACACCATTTCCCTCATTAGAACCTGAAAAATAATGATGCTTTATTGAGCAAATATTTTTCCAACAATCTACTTAAACTATTTATTGAATATTTTTGCAAAATATCGAACTTCAGCCTAGTACACTTTGGGACACTGTGTTTTCAAGTAATGTTTCCAGTGATGATGAGCATTTTTTCATCTGTCTGTTGGTTGAATAAATGTCTTCTTTTGAGAAGTATCTGTTCATATACTTTGCCCACTTTTTGATGGGGTTGTTTTTTTCTTGTAAATTTGTTTGAGTTCTTTGTAGATTCTGGATATTAGCCCATTGTCAGATGAATAGATTGCAAAAATTTTTTCCCATTCTGTATCACTGGCCATCAAATAAATGCAAATCAAAACCACAATGAGATACCATCTCACACCAGTTAGAATGGCGATCATTATAAAGTCAGGAAACAACAGGTGCTGGAGAGCATGTGGAGAAATAGGAACACTTTTACACTGTTGGTGGGACTGTAAACTAGTTCAACCATTGTGGAAGACAGTGTGGTGATTCCTCAAGGATCTAGAACTAGAAATACCATTTGACCCAGCCATCCCATTACTGGGTATATACCCAAAGGATTATAAATCATGCTGCTATAAAGACACATGCACACGTATGTTTACTGTGGCACTGTTCACAATAGCAAAGACTTGGAACTAACCCAAATGTCCATCAATGATAGACTGGATTAAGAAAATGTGGTACATATACACCATGGAATACTATGCAGCCATAAAAAAGGATGAGTTCATGTCCTTTGTAAGGACGTGGATGAAGCTGGAAACCATCATTCTCAGCAAACTATCACAAGGACAAAAAATCAAACACCACATGTTCTCACTCATAGGCGGGAATTGAACAATGAGAACACTTGGACACAGGAAGGGGAACATCACACACCGGGGCCTGTTGTTGGGTGGGGGGAGGGGGGAGGGGGGAGGGATAGCATTAGGAGATATACCTAATATAAATGATGAGTTACTGGGTTCAGCACACCAACATGGCACATGTATACATATGTAACAAACCAGCATGTTGTGCACATGTACCCTAGAACTTAAAGTATAATAATAAAAAAAAATTATAAACCTACTCTTATGCAAACAGTATTGGCACAACAAGAAAATGATTAAGATGCAGAGAGGGTAGGTCAAAAAGACTAAAAGGATTAATGCAGATTGTTTGATGTATATTAAAACAGTTGGTAAAAGTTAAAAAAAAAAACAAATAATGTTTCCATTGTGTCAACAAATAGATACTTGTAGATAGCTGCAGATTGTCTATACTATTACATGTTTAAAATAACTCTCTCAGAGTGCCAGAAATGTTATCAATGTCTCATGCTTAAAAAATGGTAAATTCTAATAAACAAAAGACTGATATAACCAGGCAGTTTGAAGCATAAACAAAATCTTCTGTCTCAATTATAAAGTACAAAGTATCAGGTTTGCAATATGGGTTTTTCTGTTGTAACAGAATTTCGTAACTAAAGATTGGGTTCTAGCCATCTCAAGGCTCAACTCAGGTAGTCGTATTCACTACCCAGCTGACACGGTTGGTGGCAGAATTTAGTTTTTCACAGGCTACTGGATTGAAGACTTTTGATTTTTACTGGGGTTGGCCAGGGCCTCCCTCTATTTTTTGCCTTGTAGGCCTCTCTATAATGACAGCTTTCATCATCAAAGAGTGCAAACTAGGAAGGCAATTGAGTCTGCTATCAAGATGAAAGCCTAATCACAGAAGTAACATCAGATCACTTGTGCCATATTGTGTTCATTAGAGGTGAGTCACTAGGTTTTGTTGACACTCAAAAGGAAGTGATTACACAAGGGAATCGTTGCAAGATCATTGCAGGTTATCTTAGAAATCTGACTACCATATGTCTATCGATGAGGAAACTTATTAAATAAATGTAGCCATATCCATGCATCTTCAAAGAATTAGGAGTTCTATATGGTACTAATATGTAAAGAGTAAATCCCTACTGACATAGGAACAGTGTGAATAATATGACACATTTTGCTTATAAGGCGGAAAATAAAAATCTATAATTCTATTTGCTTGTATACAGTTAAAGAAACTATGAAACAATATATAAGAAATGAATTACAGTTGCCAAGGTTGGGAGTGAGGAGTGAGAACTGGGTGGAAGGGAAAAAGAGGTTGAAGGGACTTTCCCCGTAGTTTTTATATTTACAATTTTTTGAACCGTATAAATGCATGATCTATTCAAAGATTAAATAAAAATAATGGGAAGATGTTTTTGTGGTCACCAAAGTTGTCTCTTCTCAGTCTTCTAGAGGAGCATGAGAAGCTGAGAGTGTTAGCTAATGATGGAGTTTTAGAAGTTTTTTCTTGAAGGTTCAATACGCCATAAGTAGTGTCTTATGCAGGTGCCATTTAGATGCAATTTCGCATCAAGTCTACTGAGTACCTGTTGCAGCCACTGCGAAAACTCAGAATGGACCCCCACCCAAGATCTGGTTTGGATGTTAAGACAATTACTACATTTACACACACACACACACACACACACACACATACACACATACACACCTTGAGAGGGTATGAAGAGGTTTATTTCATACACAATGAGACTTCTCTGGGGAAAGAAGGGCAGTCCTCTCAAGCTGATCTGAAAATGACTTGAGAAAACAGTGAAAAGAGACAGGTCTTAGGGTTTCATTGTGGTTAGGGGGTAGGCTGGTGTGAGCCTTCCTGCATGAAGGTTGAGGTTTGTGTGATTTGAATCTCCCCTGGCACCAAAGGTGGGAGCACTCTGGCTTTTTTTTTTATCATACTGCCCAGATTAAGGGTACAAGAAAAGACAAGAGTGAACCTTAAAAGCTTTTAGTAGTAAAACATCAAATAATGCAGTCATATTCTTTTTTTTTTTTTTTTTTTTTTTTTTTTTTTTTTTAAGAGACAAGGTCTCGCTCTGTTGCCCAGGCTCGAGTGCAGTGGCTCAATCATAGCTTACCGGAATCTGGAACTCCTGAGCTCAAGCAATCCTCCCGCCTCAGCCTCTCGAGGAGCTGGGACTACAGGCATGTGCCACTGGACCAGATTAAATTTTTTATTTTTCTATTTAGTTTTTGTAGAAATGAGGTCTTGCTATATCTCCCGGGCTGGTCTTAAATTCCTGGCCTCAAGCAATCCTCCCACCCCTGCCTCCCAAAGTGTTGGGATTACAGGTGTGAGACACAGAGTCCAGCAATAACTTGTTTTGTTTAGTCAGGAAAGCAATAGAGACCTCACAAATATTTAGCCTTCTGACACAAGCTTGTAAAAAAACAGTTCCTTAAAAATTATCAAGATCATATGCATAAGGAAGGCTGTGGGAGACAAAGGAGTATTTCTTTAGGAGATATAATGTTTCATCTATCAGACTAGCAAAAATTGCAAAGAATTATGGTATTCAGTATGGCCCAGGATTTGAGAAGTTAGGCAATTGCATACAGTCAATGGAAAATAAAAATTGCATATTCATACTTCTTTTTCCAAAAGTAACACATTCATATAAACAATTTAAGTGTGCATGTCCTTTGACTCAGCAATTCTACTCCTAGGAATTTATTCTGAGTAAACAATCAGATAATTGCAAAATGTACAACCACACAATCAATACATGCACACAAACACGCAAGAATGTTCACTGAAGCACTGGCTGAAAGAAAAAAGTTTGGCAGCAACCTATAAACCCAACTATTGAGATTTAAGTAAACTATTGTATCCTCCTATGACAAAATATAGCCATAAAAGGAAGATTCAAAGTATTTCATGGTACAGGAAAGTCATTCACATTATATGTTAAAATCAAAAGCACATAAAAGAGTATTATACTATTATTCCATTGTTGTTCATTAAATAGTTGTAAATACATAGGAAAATGACCAAAATAATATAAATACACTAAATTTTTACAGTACAGCTGGTGTGATATTCTGGGTTATTTTTATTTTCATCTTAGTTCTCTTTAATTTTCTATATGTTTTTTACTAAATTGGAATCTCAGAGATTTTGAAGGCAAATGATCAGTGGTAAAATAATGCTACTACGTATAAATTCATTCTACAAATTGGGCTAACCAGATGGAAAATGGGTCACCACAGAAAGTATTATAATTCATAAGAATAATTATAATATCATACAAATTTATTAGACAATCAAATACCATAAAATATTTGTGACTGGAAATTGAATAAAACTTAAAAGACATTAATAAAGGTCTGTTCCTTAAAGTGCTCAGACATTTAAAAGATACTTTCAAGACAAAAACATCTACTACAAGGAGGATTACTAGTCTCTTCAGGCCGTAGTGAAAATGGAGTACATCATCATCAAATAACAACGTCAGCTAAAAATACAGAGCCTGTTTATTGTGTACGGACCAACTGTGCAAGCAATTTGTACAATACTTTGGTGTTAACTCCAATTTGGATACGAATTACTCATTTTCACAAACTTAAATTGGATTACACTTTATCTTTCCCAATTACTGAAAACATTTACTTAACACATACACATTTGGAACTTAACTTCGATGAAGTAAAAATACGAAAAGTTAATCTCTACTTCCAAAAATGTCGATGCACGCTGCAATTGTATTTCATTTCTTTCGCAAAATTTTGCACAGGATATTGTTGTTAATTGTTAGTAGAGGAATTCAGAAATGACTAGATCCTTTAGTTGAGGCAAGCAGGTATGTTCCCCGTGTTCTAGCCCTGCACTTAAGAGTCAATGAAAGAAAGTTTAAAAAAGAAAGCATTGTCTCCTCTGGAGACCCCGTCTGCCACGACCACATACCTTGATTCTTGCTTTCTCTATAAATTCTAGAGGGGCTTTCCCAAACTCAAATCCAACTCCAATCCAAGGAATCCAGCCCTTGATGCACGGGGGTCTACGCAAATTCTTCCGCTGAAGGAGTAAGAACAGAGCAAGGCAACCCAGGATTATAATCACTGTTGGGGAAATTAGTTCCATGTTTTTGTCCAGCACCTTCCAGAAGCAGAAAAGTGTGAAACAGTCCTGCCGTCCCTTGCTTCTTTTCTGTGGGCTACGGAACCTGTCGGGACTCCCAACCTTTCTGCTGCAACTTTTGCAGCTCTCCTTCGTAACTGTAGCTTCCTTCCTCTGTCCCAGTTTTCAGGTGATTTTTCCATTGTCGCTCCCTCCCACCTCCACTTCTCTTTGAATCTCAGCCAGCGCGGAAAAAATGCAAGGAGGGGCAGGGCCGGGCTAGGACTGACGGGCGAGAACCAGCCGCGTTGCCATGGAGGCCGGGGGCGGAGCCGCAGAGGGACCCGCGGCCGGCCAATCAGAGACGTAGCGGAGCCCGGCGGACTACATTGCCCAGTAACCTCCTGGGCTCCGCTGTGTTTTTCTATTCTGGGGTGTAAGGGGCAGCTGGACCACTCCAGCTGGGACTGCTAGGAAGGTTGCGGGTCCACCCGGCCGAGCCGAACGAGGGAAATGGTCCTCACCCGGCCACTCGCCGGTTGAAAAGGGGCCGCCCTGGCAGGGAAGCGGCCGCCGCGGCGCGGTGCAGCGCAGCGGCGAGAAGGAGTGCGTTATCGTCTTGCGCTACTGCTGAATGTCCGTCCCGGAGGAGGAGGAGAGGCTTTTGCCGCTGACCCAGAGATGGCCCCGAGCGAGCAAATTCCTACTGTCCGGCTGCGCGGCTACCGTGGCCGAGCTAGGTACCCGGCTGCCCACGCCTGGGCCTCCCGGGCCAGTGGCACGCGCCGCGCTGGGGGAGGGTGCGCGGGCGGCTTCGCGCCCGGCAGTGCGCATCGGAGAGGTCGCCCCTTCCATGCCCGCCTGGCAGAGGTGGCGGTGGAGGCCAGGCCCGCGGTGGGAGGAGGAGGGATTGAGGTCTCCACGGCCTTTTCCTTCTAATCTCTTCTAATGCTTCCCTTAGGCATGTGCTGTGGTGCTTGAATGTTGTACTTTAAGAAGCTTCGCGAGCTGTCATTCCTCTGTAGGAATCATTTTCCTTTTCATGAGGATGACCTTTTTAAAAACGTAATCTGTTTTCCATCCTTACTGAGATCATCTCTGTGGTTTATAGTCTTACACAGCCACACTGTCATTATCTTGTGGGTCCAAGTTGTGGACCTACCTTGTGGGACTTCCGTTATTAACCTGCCACTCACAGAGCATCGACTACTTGACCTCTTTGAGTGTAATTCATCTATACTGTTTACCTTGCAGGATTCTGAGAAGTCAATAATATATGATTGCTAAACCCAAGGCAGGACACCCATTAGTTGCGACATTTTTATAATTCCTACAATACCAGGGACTGTGGATATATATTTGAAAAGACCCAGTTCTGACCTTCTTACAGGCTGCTGGGGAGACAGAGAAAGACAATTATAATGTGCTACTTGTTATAATGAAGATATTATTAGGTGTCATAAAAGCATAGAAGAGCAGTTACATCTGCCTACATGAGTAAGAAAAAACTTTAAGAGGCCATCTAGAGTGGAATGATGATGCCCTTGAATGAGCAAGTAGCGTTTATTCCAAGGATTTTGTGAGTAGTATACTCATGTGTTTCCTGTGAAGCCTTAACTGTGTATTTTAAGATTACCCTTACATTTTCTTGCCTGTTACAAAAAAATAAAAAGAACAGTTCTGATGCGTTATCATTTGTAAATGTTAGTTGGTCCTATTTTAAGAGTTTATTTTTTAATTCTAGCATAGCCAGCCATGATCAGTTGTTTCGTGCTCTTCCATTTTTGCCTTTTAGCCCCTCTATTTTTTAATGTCTCTCCTTTCGAAAATGATGGAGAATTTTTACTTTTCATTGTTTTTACTGAAATAAAATTCATCAGCTTAAAAAGATCTAAAAGCAGATTGCTGAATGATATTTCCAGGTTTTATTTTTAATTGATGTGTCCCCCTCTGACTCAATGGCTTTTATACAGGACTATTCCTCGTTAAAAATTCATGGAGAGAATTGTGTGTGGAGAATGGATGGGAATCAAAATGTGGGATGGTTTTAAGTACAAACCACTTCAGGAACCTGAAGCATCATTTAACAAACCAGCGAGAAAACAAAACTTATTTTGAAAGACATAATCTGTGTAATATGGAGAAATCTATTAAGATTTTTCAGGTTTCATATGTCAATAAAATATTGCTTGAAGTCTATGCAAGCTACTTCTGTTCTAGGGAAACTGTCAGCAAGATACTAACTTTTCCAAAAACCAGTGGTAAGATTTAATATTCACTTCCCTTCCCCACATTGTTTTCTCTTGGAAAAGGTATACTAAGGTTTTGTGTCAGGTGGTGGTCATTGAAAAGTCTTATATAATGTAAGTAATGTTCATGAACTTGTCTGAATGTTATTATTTTAATTATTCAGGACGTTTTCTGTATAAGGTTATGAGCTCTATCTTCCTTATGTAGGCCGTTTAGCTTAACTGTATTAAGGTAAAAGGTCTGTATCTAATTTAAAACTTAAAACCAAAAAATTTTTCCAAAATACAGTTAGTACTTGTAAGGAGGCCATGAGTAGGCGATGCATATAATTTAGTGCTGGAAAAATAATTCCATATATGCTTTAATTGAAAGGATATTGAGCTTATGACCCTTGCATATAAAAGACAACATTATAAACTCCATTACATCTTCTGTATCTCAAACATTATGTCAGTCATTCATCTGCATGTGAACATCACCCACGAAATTATAGAGTTCAGCTTCATCTAGCATTTGTTATAGTACATAAGAATATATAGTGCAGTATTCTAATGTTACATTAGATCTCAAATAATCATGGCTGCAGTCAAGAGGATAGCACACAATATGGTACTTTAAATTATTTCCCATTGAAAAGCAAAAATTAATGACTAACAGATATTAAAGTTAAATTTCTGAATAGAAAGAACCCAAGGCTTGTCATTTTAATTTTTATTGTTAATGTTTGTTTTTTTTTTTTTTTTTTTTTTTTTTTTTTTTTTTTTTGCTAGTGATCCAGGATGCTCTTGCGTAGTGATTCTTAAATTTGGGACTGTGTGAGAATCAAGTTTCTAAACCCTCTTCAACCTACTGAATTAGAATCCATGGGCACGGGGCTAGGAAATTTCTAATTTTTAAAATCTCCCTAGCTGATTCTGATATATTCTAAAATTTGAGAACAACCAGTCTTGGGAAAATATTACTCCTATGATTTTAGATTTTTGTTTGTTTCTCTGAATGTTGTGGGTTTTTCCCTGCATTTGTGTTTTTGTTAGCAACCTTTCCCCTGGATCTCACAAAAACTCGACTCCAAATGCAAGGAGAAGCAGCTCTTGCTCGGTTGGGAGACGGTGCAAGAGAATCTGCCCCCTATAGGGGAATGGTGCGCACAGCTCTAGGGATCATTGAAGAGGAAGGCTTTCTAAAGCTTTGGCAAGGAGTGACACCCGCCATTTACAGACACGTAGGTATTTATCTTGATTCTAGCTGGTAAGTTTGTTATGAGTTCTGTGTTTGTCTCCTGTGCTTTTCTGTTTGTCCAAAAACAAGTTAGTTTTTTTATCTTACTGATACAATAACTGAACACATACAGCACATAGTCTTTTTTTATTATTATTTAGGTTTTTTTTTTGAGATGGAGTCACACTCTGTCGCCCAGGCTGTAGTGCAGTGGCGCCATCTCAGCTCACTGCAACCTCTGCCTCCCAGGTTCAAGCGATTCTCCTGACTCAGCCTCCTGAGTAGCTGGGACTACAGGTGCACGCCACCACACCCAGCTAATTTTTTTTTTTTTTTTTTTAGAGAGTCTCGCTCTGTTGCCCAGGCTGGAGCACAGTGGTGTGACCCTGGCTCACTGCAACCTTTGTCTCCCGAGTTCAAGCGATTCTCCTGCCTCAGCCTCCTGAGTAGCTAGGATTACAGGCACATGCTACCAAACCTGGCTAATTTTTGTATTTTTAGTAGAGATGGGGTTTCACCATGTTGATCAGACTAGTCTCAAACTCTTGACCTTGTGAAATTTTTGTATTTTTAGTAGAGACGGGGTTTCACCATATTGATCAGGTTGGTCCCAAACTCCTGACCTCAGGTGATCCACCTGACTTGGCCTCCCAAAGTGCTAGGATTACAGGCGTGAGCCGCCGTGCCCAGCCAGAACACATATAGTCTCTTAAGAAGAAAAAAATTAACTACTGATTATTATTAAGAAGTTACTGTCCTAAATTTTTAGAAACGCATACTCACGTATTTAGGGATGAACTGTCATGAAATCTGTAAACCACTTTAAAATATTTAATTAAGCAAAAAACAATGAAGCAAGCCAGATACAGTGGCTTATGCCTATAATCCCAGCAGTTTGGAAAGCCGAGGCGGGATAATTGCTTGAGCCCAGGAGTTCGAGACCAGCCTGAGCAAGATGGCAAGACCCTGTCTCTACAAAGAGTAAGAAAATTAGCCAGGCCTGGTGGCACATGACTGTAGTCCCCACTACTTGGGAGGCTGAGGTGTGAAAACAGCTTGAATCCAGGAATTCAAGGTGGCAGTGAGCTTTGATCCTGCCACTGCTCTCCAGCCTGGGTAACAAAACAAGACCCCATCTCTAAAAATATTAAATTGGGCCGGGTGCTGTGGCTCACACCTATAATCCAGCACTTTGGGAGGCACAGGTGGGTGGATCACCTAAGGTCAGGAGTTCGAGACTAGCCTGGCCAACATGGTGAAACCCTGTCTCTACTAAAAATACAAAAATTAGCCGGGCCTAGTGGCGCATTCCTGTAATCCCAGCTACTCAAGAGGCTAAGGCAGGAAAATCGCTTGAACCCAGGAGGCAGAGGTTGCAGTGAGCCGAGATCATGCCATTGCACTCCAACCTGGGTGACAAGAGCGAAACTCTGTCTCAAAAAAATAAAAAATACAAAATAAATTTAAAAAGTTAGAAAATTAAGGAAATATGGCAAAAATGTTAGCAGTTAATAAATCTCAATGGTAGAGATAGAGGGAGTTACATATTATTTACTTTTCAGTGTTTGAAAATTTTCTTAATAAAAATTTGTATAGGTTTAAGAAAGAAAAAGTGAATAGCTGATTATCATTTTTCTTCACTTAAGAACTTTAAACACAGAATTTAAATTTTTCATATTTTTTGAAAATTAACATATATTTATTACAGTGCCAAATCTCATGAGTCCCTGTCTCATAATCTAAGACCAGGCTACTCTGAAAGAGGACAGAGTTCACTGCCTAATCCAACACTGGCTGTAGTGTAAATGCAACACAGGTGATTTTTGCCCCAGTTCCAAGGCTACCTAACTAGCTATGTGGGCCTTAGTCACCCTTAAAGGAAGATGGTTGCAACTATGCCAGTTAGAACATTTTTCTGCTCTGCTTCCACAGTGGCACTCACAAGAGGAGGACTTGATTTTATAGCTTGTGTACAGGAGAATATAAAGTTGGCTTCAAAGGAGGTAGGATAGGTTTGGCATTTTTCTCCTCATAATGTTTCCTGAAGCATGAAAGGATCCTTGATCAGAAGAGTGCTCAGTTCTAATTTCTAAAATTTGCTGGCTTAATATTTTTAAAGATTCAATTCTCCATATGAGTAAGTTAGCGTGTATCATCAAAAACTATCTAGAACTGTGTGCAGAGACTGTTACTGGTTTTCCAAGTTGTATATTTTTGAGTATCTTAAAATATTTCATCAACTTTCTAAAACATCAAGAAAAGCTCTCTATACAAATACCATGGTTGATTTTAATTATTTTGTTTTCCATCCTTTTAAAAATATTTTCTGCTTTGCATCCCATTATTATTTTGAGTTTCTTTTCATTTGTAGTTTGTTGTTCATTGTGTTGTTTTACAGCTAAGATTCATTTCATACGTTTGATGCTTAGCTGAAAAATTACAATAAATTCTCCAATGAAATTATGTATCTTTATTTAATGAAAATGCCTGCTGCGTACCAAGGTATGTACTAGGGCATCTGGGGTAAGTAAAAACAAACACATAGAGCCTGCCTGGAGAAGCTCATGGTCTGATGGAAAGATAAGCAAGAAGAGTTAATTTCTAATCAATATGATAAAAAGGTCAGAGAGCAGTTTCTGAAAAACATGTTTTTGAGTTGAGTCCTGAAAGACAAGGAGATGTTAGTAAAGCAGAGAAGGGAGAATTCATTCTAGAAAGATCAGACAGTGTGTGGGAAGGGCAGAGTCTGAAAAGAGCATGCCCCATTTGGAGAAGCATCAAGAAGCCCACGTGTTAGAAGCACCGGCCCCATGAGACAAAGACACAGCTAGAGAGATTGACTAGGCCATGTCGGAATGTCCTCTTATTTTATACATACATAAGCATATAGATACATATAGCCAAAGTTACCTTTTTAATGATCTTTTTTACCCAGTGTATTCTGGAGGTCGAATGGTCACATATGAACATCTCCGAGAGGTTGTGTTTGGCAAAAGTGAAGATGAGCATTATCCCCTTTGGTAAGTTTTGTTTGGAAAATAATATGCTGTTGCCCCAAATGCCTTAATGTTTATTAGGTTTATGTAAAATTGTACATTTGTACCCAAATTGCCTTAAGTTATGGACTTAAAATAATAATTACAATATAAGTCCAGATAATTGAGCATTTACTGCAGATGTATACAGACATACATGTATATACATATATAAATTGCATATATAGAGATATTTAGTATTTTACTGTTGAAAGAATTCTTATAGAGTACCTTTTTATTCCTCTTTTTATTAAGAACTCTCGGCTTTAGAGTCAGACAGGGATGGGCTCAAATTCCTGCTCTGCTACTGTATAACCTGGACAAACTGCTTCACCTTTTTTATCTTCAGTTTTCACAGCTATAGAAGTAATACAAACCATTAAGTGTTTTTATAGGACACGGTGAGATGATGAATGTAAGTGTATATTATTTAACGGAAACTGAAAAAATCGGTTACTAAAAATAATATACATAGAGCTCCTATAAATAAATAGAAATATAGAAAACACACGCTGGGCGGGGTGGCTCACGCCTGTAATCCCAGCATTTTGGAAGGCCAAGGTGGGCAGATTACCTGAGGTCAGGAGTTCGAGACCAGCCTGGCCAACATGGCAAAACGCTGTCTCTACTAAAAATACAAAAAATTAGCTGGGTTTGGTGGTGGGGGACTGTAATCCAAGCTACACAGGAGGCTGAGGCAGGAGAATCGCTTGAACCCAGGAGGTGGAGGTTGCAGTGAGCCGAGATTGCACTGTTGCATTCCAGCCTGGGTGACAGAGCAAGGCTCTGTCTCAAAAAATATAAAATAAAAATAAAAAATTGCATATATATATATAATTATATATATAAAATTATATAACCTCTCAGCTGGACCACTGCCATCTAACTCGTCTCCTCCTCCATCCTCAAATGTGTACCCGGTATCCAGAGTGATTTATTTGAAACACAGATATTAACACATTATTGGTGTCCTTAAAACTTGTCACTGGCTTCTAATCACCCACAAAATAAAGTGGAGATTTTGGAATGTGACTTAGAAGATCTGCAATATCTGGCCTGTGTCTTCAGAGAACTAAGCAATTCATTGATTCTCTTGGAAAGAGTGGTGCACTAATGAGCTGAAAGATTCCACTGCCTGCACATACCAAACTGTTCTTCACCTCTGTGTCTGTGTGTGTGTGTGTGTGTGTGTATAGAGAGAGAGAGAGAAAGCACAATAGAAAAATAAGGAAAGGATACCAATAGGCAGTTCACAAAAGAAATATACATGTTCATTAAACATAAAAATGTTCAAACTCACCAATAATCAGGGAAATTAATTAAAACTAACTTTAAGCTGTTAGTGGAAATATAAGTTACTATAGTCTTTTTGGAGCATAAATTACTTGTTAACATTTTTGAACGTGTAACCCCTTTGTGATTATAATCATTTATAAATGCTTCTACATATGCATTAAGACAGACACAAAGATATTGACTGTAGCAGTGTTGATGATAGAAAATTATTTTTTTAATTTAAACTATTGATTTGGAAGCAGTTAAGTAGGTTATGATATATTTATGGCATAACACAGCTATTGAAAGCATGAGGTGGGTTTCATATGACTAACATGGAAAGATGCCTATAAAATCTTTCTTAGGGTTAAAAAAATCTAAGTCACAGCTATAAAAAGGGGCAATATGTAGAGTTTCACCTTTCAGGCAACATTTCTTTATCTTGTTTTTGAAAAATTGTAATGTACTAAGCTATACTAATTGCTTTCCCAGAGTCAATTATGGAATAGATTTATAGTCCTTGCGTTTTGGAATTTCTTCCAGAAGGGAAAGGTTTAAGTAAAAAGTGCAAAGGAAATATTATACCAGAACTTTTAGGGTGGATAGGTTTAATGTCCTTTTGACCCAATCAGAACAATTCATTCAGTCAGTAGGTATTTATTGGGTAATTATGGTATGGTATGCCAGTCTTATACTTAATACTGAGGCTATAGTAATGAAAAAGAAACAGTCCTGCCGTCATTCAGCTTACAGTAACAGAGTCGATGAATAAACAATTAGAATTATGTAAAAAATACAGAGAAAAGAGTGGTTATGAGAGATGCAAAGAGAAAAAATATGATAATGTATGTGCTCATCATTGTGTGGAGAAACAGGTATGAGAGATGCAAAGAGAAAAAATATGATAATGTATGTGCTCATCATTGTGTGGAGAAACAGGCATTTTCACAGGTTGTTGGTGGAAGTGCAAATTGATAAAGGTTTTCTGGAAAGCAATTTGACAGGCTCTAGCAAATGTTATGTAAATGTTCAAATTTCTTAAAGTTATGTTCGTTAAATAAATTATGGCATATCCATAAAATGAAATACTGTCAAACTATTAAAAAGAATGAGGCTGCTCTATATGACCTGATAGGGATAGCCTTTAAGATATGCTGTTAAGAAAACAGTGCAGAACACTGTACAACTTGACATTCTATGTTAGCGCTTTTACAAAGGAACATTTATACAGATATGCTTGTGTATGCACAAACTGTCAGTCATAACTTAGTGTTTAAGACTGTGGGCTCTGCATGCAGGCTGTCTGGATTCACATCTTGGCTGTCCCACTGATTAGTTGTGTGATTTGAGCTGCCATTCAACTGCTCTATGCTTCAGTTTCCTCATCTGACAGAGAGAATGACAGCACTGTCATGAGGGTTGATATGAGAATGAAATGGTATTTTTAAAATGCTCAGAACAGTGCCTGACATGAGCATTCAGTGAATTCGTTATTATCTCTGGCAAGGGATATAATAAAATAGTAATTGTGATTGCTTCACTGGAGGGGAGCTGGACATAGAGGTCAGAAGGAGACTTTTCTTTTATACCCATTTGTAGCTCTTCAAGTTATTTTAAAGTAAAAGGAAATAAAATGCTTATTTTCCCCAAGAGACTACTGCAGTAATCTGGGTTAAAGTTGACCGGAGTCTAGCCTTTGTCTGTTAGGCTGACTACATCTATGCAGTTTTTATTCCCCTGTAGTTGGAATTAAACTACAATTAAATTATCAATTCAGATGTGTGTATCTTTGAAGCAACTGCTCTTTCCTTTGGATTTCAGGCCATATAAGGCCTGAAATTTTCACTCATTGTACTCCTTTAACCTCCCATCAGTAAACAGTCAAACTGTTTACTTTACTCTGTGACTTACTTGGGTATATCCTTTTCTTTACTTGATCTGAAATCTCTTACCTAGGCCCTGTACCAGCTCAGTATTGGTTCACTATAAAATTCGTGAAATTAATGGCAACTTTAAAAAGAATTTCCTTCTGCAATTAGGAAATCAGTCATTGGAGGGATGATGGCTGGTGTTATTGGCCAGTTTTTAGCCAATCCAACTGACCTAGTGAAGGTTCAGATGCAAATGGAAGGAAAAAGGAAACTGGAAGGAAAACCATTGCGGTAAGTTCTCCAATTAACCAATACCTCTCTTTTTCCCTTGGCCACCGTCATATTTTTAACAAGTACCTAATAGAATTATCATCCAGTATGCAGTAAAGATATTACTTCTGACTTTTTTAATCTGGAAGTTCATTAAGAGGAACACTAAGCTGGATCTTTTCTTTGCACTAGGAAGTGTACATGTTCTATACCAGACAAATTATATATGTGTAATGTTCTTTGCTGCTTTTCCCAGCCAAGGCTAGACTTGTCCCCTACTGCAGGTTAACATAAACAGTTTGATTATTAAAATTTGCCCTGGTGTGAATCTCAATTTTGCCACTGTGGCTTGGTGTTGTGGAAGTCACTTAACATTTCTGGTCTCTTGGGTTTTCATCTTTATAAACTCGCTCAAAAGGCTGTCATGATGGTTAACATGCCTGACTGCTCATTAGTGTGAAAAACCTTGCTTTCATTCCCTTTCTCCTGCAGAAAGAGAGTAGCAAGGATAACGTTGCATATTGTCCCAACTTTCTTGTTGAATCTCATTCCTCCTTCATCTTGAAGCCCTCTTTTTCCCTAATATGGCTTTGGGATATAAAATCCTCCCATTGCATTACACTATATTACTAAAATCCACCTTTCTTCCAAGGGTTTCATGTTCAACAGTTTATTAAAATACCACTTAGTTTCCCCTGGGAAAGGGACAAAATCATGCAGATGGATAGACCTTTCCCAGAAAAAAGGTAATTACAGGATGACTTGAGCTGAGTACAAAGGGAGCTGCTCCTGTGAACACTCCAGGTCTGCAGCTGAGCCAGAGGCAAAGGAGGGTTTGGGGCCATCTTCACCGCTGACCACTGCTGTCTGCCCCTCTTCATGTAGCTGACTCAGTGGAAAAGGAGACTGGGCTGCTGCAGCCCAGGGTCCCCTTCAGCCTTCAAAGCATGTAGAGAATATGCACAGCACAGGAGAAAAGGGTACCACTGTGACTTAACCAAGTAGTTTATAGAACCCCAGGGCCCAGTTTGTCATCTTATAACAACTTCTAATGACTAAATAACAGGGAGAAGTCACACTGCCTTGTTGGATAGGAGGAGAAAACTGGTTATTAGGATCCAGAATATCTGAGTTTTTAACTGATCACTCAGTTTTTTTCCCCTCTTTGTTCTTAATGTTGGAAATTTTTGGATTGAATGCACCTAATGTAGTACACTTTAATAATCAAACTCTTTATATTAACCTGTAATAGGGGACAAGTTATATACTACAGTAAAAAGCATGAACATTGAGATCAGACAGCCTGGGATTCAAAGCCAGTCTTTACCATATTTTAGCTTTGTAATCATAGTCAAGTTCCTTACCCATTTTAAGCCTTGGTTTCTTCGAATGTAAATTAGAATCATATTATATACCTCACAGAATTTTCAGTATTAACATGCATCTCATGTATATTAAATGCTTGGTACTTAGTAAGTGCTCCATAAATTTTAGTTACAGTGATCATCATTCATGATCATAACTTCTCATGTATCATAACAGCAATTATGTGTGTCCAATAAATATGTGATATTATCTTTTTGGTGAGATTCAGAGAGTGTGATGCCTGAGTAAAAGCCACACAGGCTAGTAAGTGGTGAAGGTGGCATGTGACTTCAGGTTTTTCTGACTACATAAAGCTCAGACTTTCTTTTAATGCCAGAAGTTTTCATATTTGTTTATGCTTCTTCAGCACCATTCTTCATCTATCTATAGAGAAATGAGCAAGATAAAGATAGTCTACTAAATTTTTTTGAAGCTAAAATTCTTCCGTTTTAAGAACTTTTTATGAAATTGTCCTTTTTACTTCTTAGTCTGTCATTTTTTATGAGATTAATTGTTGTTAATGTCATTATTTGATGAACTCTAAAAATTTGCAGGTCCCTTCCATCACCAGTAAAATTAACCCAGAATCTGATAACCTTTGGTTTTCTCCTATAATTAATACATGTACTGATAATATAAAATATCAAGAAAGGTATTTTTATCCATTTAATAATCTGAGAAGAGGATGATACAGTGTATAAAGATTTTGATTAAAAATATTTAAGTCAAATGTTGGCCTTTTTTCTAAAGGATTATTATGTTTATCTGTAAATTAGACTTGCATAGATTGCTTCATTTCTAATAATTCTGGATAAATTATATCTGGATGTTATTTACTCCAGATTATAAGAGCTATAAGTGAAGCTTATCCAGTTGAATTTCATACACAGGAATACATGGAGTTTTCACATTTAATTATTATTCTCCTTAGATTTCGTGGTGTACATCATGCATTTGCAAAAATCTTAGCTGAAGGAGGAATACGAGGGCTTTGGGCAGGCTGGGTACCCAATATACAAAGAGCAGCACTGGTGAATATGGGAGGTAATGAAAACTTTGTTAAATTCTAAAAAGTCCTAATTGCCTTAATAGCTGTAAGCACTTATATTAGGGAAATTAAAATTTATGTTTTATTTTTAATATATTGGTGACCATATATTGTTGACTGGCTGTATAGATGTTCTAGGTCATAACTGAATATTTTCCACAGAGCATTTTTGCTTCATTCTATAGTGATGTATGAAAAGGATAGGATTTACTAAAATAGGCAAATTGTGACAATAAGGACACAAGGCTAAACTATTTGTAAGGCCTCCCCTCCAGTCCAGACCTTCCTTTAAGATTAAAACTGATATATACAGCTATCTGATCATTATTATATCCAGACTGTCCAAATCTTTCCCCTGGCAATCCTGCTCCTATTCCTAAATAATCAATTTTTATACAGTCTCACACCCCAGGCTGGAAACCTCAATGTTCTCTTAACTCATCCCTACCCCTCACTTCTCATATTCACATACCAATTCTGTCTCCCAAATATTTCTTAAAAGTTTTTCCCCTCCGCCGGGTGCGGTGGCTCACACCTGTAATCCCAGGACTTTGGGAGGCCGAGGCGGGCGGATCACGAGCTCAGGAGATCGAGACCATCCTGGCTAACATGGTGAAACCCCGTCTCTACTAAAAAATACAAAAAATTAGCCAGGTGTGGTGGCAGGTGCCTGTAGTCCCAGCTACTCGGGAGGCTGAGGCAGGAGAATGGCGTGAACCCGGGAGGCGAAGCTTGCAGTGAGCTGAGATCGCGCCACTGTACTCTAGACTGGGCAACAGAGCGAGACTCCATCTCAAAAGAAAAAAAAAGAAGTTTTTCCCCTCCTATACGTACTACTTTAGTATCCTTAAAATGACCATTTCTACACCACTAGCCTTCAAAACCTCTCCGCTGGACCACTGCCACAGCCATCTAACTTGTCTCCTCTTCCATCCTCAAATGTGTACCCGGTATCCAGAGTGATTTATTTGAAACACAGATATTAACACATTATTGGTGTCCCTAAAACTTGTCACTGGCTTATCATCACCCACAAAATAAAGTGGAAATTTTGGAATGTGACTTAGAAGATCTGCAAAATCTGGCCTGTGCCTTCAGAGAACTAAGCAATTCATTGATTCTCTTGCAAAGAGTGGTGCAGTAATGAGCTGAAAGATTCCACTGCCTGCACATACCAAACTGTTCTTCACCTCTGTATTTTCTGTCCTTTTCCCTCCTCTCCTACATAGTTTTCTTCTAGAGGTCCTCTAATACTCAGCTAAGGTGTCTTCTTCACCAATATATTTTTCCTGAACCTGCCACAATCCCTTCCCCCATGCCATGTTGTATTATATGCCCTTTTGTGTGTTTCTATAGCTATTATTGCTTGTGTCTCTTTTCCTTGCCTGCTACTGCATGTCCATATCCTCCACTATATTATAAACCCTTTGAAGGCAAGGACTGTGTTTTATTCATCTTTATTTTCCCAGACCCTCATACGTAGTCAATAAACATTTGAAGAATGAATTAATGAAATAATCCTTTCTAAGACTAATTATATGGTTCTAAGAAATATATAAATAGCATGTTTGAGGGTTCTAGAAATATAGCACCTAAACATCAAAGGAAGTCAATCTGTTTTCAGCTTTGCTATTAGAGTCTGTCTGTGTCTACTGTATATTTGTGGATATTTTGATTTTCAGAAAATCTTTATGATTGTACTTTCTTAATTCATTGGTTCAAAATCTATTGTAGCCAAAATTTCTCTTCCAAGTTCCAGCTATTTACTCAGTATCTTCTTTTGGATATCTCAAGCACATTACTTTGAATATGTCCAAACCAAACTCTTTTATCACACCAATTCTTTCTTAGTATGAGAAAGAAGCTAGAAACTCTTCTTTCACACCATTCTTTCTACATTCTTCATAATTTCAAAAATATATCACCACTCTCTCAGCTGTACAAGCAGAAACTCAGGCATGATTTTTGGCTCTTCTCTTTCATTTGCTCCATTGCTTATATCCAAGCAGTCACCAAATCCAGTCGTTCCATCTTCCAGATATATCTCAAACTCATACACTTTTCTCCATTCCTGGAGCCATTCTGTAGTCCAAGTATTATTTATCCCCTCCTACTGGACCACTACAGAGGCCTTCTAACTAGTCTTTCCATATCTACCCCATTCCCATTTTGCCCCACTATGCCTTTGAAACTGATTTTATCAAGATTACCTTTGCTACTACCTTATTTTTTTTAATTTAAAACTGTCTTCATTTTCACCATCCCTATAAATGGTGCCTCTGTCCTTTAAATTGTTCACACTCAAAACCTTGCAGTTGTTTTTGATTTCTTTCTCCGTTCCATATTCGGTTTGCTGGCTGATCCTGTTGATTCTTCAAAATTTATCCAGAATCTGACCAGGGCTCCACAACTCCCTAATTCAAGTCGTCATCATCGCTTACTGGGATTACTGCTCTGCCTTGTTTTCCTGTAGTCTACTCTTAATAGGAACTATTGAGTTCTATTAAGTTCCAGTAAGAACTCGATAGTTCTATTAAGTTCTAAATAGTAACCTTGGGCAGTCACTCCTCTGCTCAAAAGCCTCCCCTGGCTTCTGCTCTTCATCATCTAGACTCTGCTACTTCTTGCATATTCTGCTGCTGCCGGCCCAGTCTTCTGGCTGTTCCTCTAACACAGCAAGCTGACTCCTGACTCAGGGTTAGAAAACATACTGTATTTTTGCCTGGGGCAATTTCTCTTAGCTATCTACAGGGTTGTTTTCTCATGCTTTCTTTTGGTCTCTGTTCAAATGTCCACTTATCAAGAGGTCTTGCCTGATCACCCAATTTAAAATTAATAGAAACTATTCCTCCCTACCCTCTGGTACTCTCTGTCCCCTTTCCTTACCTTCTTTGTCTTCAGGGCATTTACTTCAAGAGCAAGTGCATCTGAAACACCATGTAGTTTACTTTATTGTCTCATCCCACAACAGAGAGCAAGGATTTTTGTTCATTTTGTCCATGGCTGTTTCCCCCAATGTGATCAAATGTACCTATCCATTCTTGCCTCATTACAACTTACTTCCCCATACTTTAGTGTGGGTTAACTTTATATAACTCTAGCATTGTGATGTCATTCTCCTATTTAAAACCCTTCCATAGCTCTTCATTGCCATTAGAAAAATGTATAAAAGGGCCAGGCGCGGCGGCTCATGCCTATAATCCCAGCACTTTGGGAGGTTGAGGTGAGCAGATCTCTTGAGCTCCGGAGTTGGAGACCAGCCTGGGTAATATAGTAAAACCCCATCTCTACAAAAATATTGAAAAATTAGCCAGATGCACACCTGTAATCCTAGCTACTTGGGAGGCTGAGGCACAAGAATCACTTGAGCCCAGGAGGCGGAGGTTGCAGTGAGCCGCGATCACGCCACTGCACTCAAGCCTGTGTGACAGAGACCCTGTCTTGAAAATGTATAAAATGCTTAATGTAGAATAATAGTCAGGACCTTTTATTTATAAGTGACAGGATCTCAATTCAAATTACTTGATCAAATTACTTTTTTGGCTAAAAAAGTAATTTATTGGCTCAAATACTGAAAGGCCCAGGGGTTGAGCTGAATTTAGGCATAGCTAGATTAAGGAGTCTAAATGATACATTTGACTTTCTGTCTCTTCTTCTTTTTCTCTCCCTCTATCTGTAGCTGTGCTTTCCTTGAGAACAAGAAGGATTCCTTGGTAGCTTTCATCCTGGTACACATTCCTGCCCCAAGCCTAGCATATTCTTGACACAAAAGACATTCACTGTTGACTGATGAATATTTAAACTTTTTCCATTGCCAGATTTAACCACTTATGATACAGTGAAACACTACTTGGTATTGAATACACCACTTGAGGACAATATCATGACTCACGGTTTATCAAGGTAAGGATTGTTTTAGTTGGACTCTGTTTTTTTTTTTTGTATCACTTTTTCTTCCATATTTGACATAAATTCTTTAGGCTCATTTGATTGGGATTGTACTGGCATCACCTTTAGAGAAGAGTACATTTATAAAGAGAAATTTCTTAAAGTTTCTTGCAGTTAGAATGGGGAAGAGACAGACAAAGTTGTAGGATGTTTTGGATTAAACCTCTCAAAATATTTGCATCTTGATGGGGCCATCCCAGGAACAGGCTATGATGATGGACTCTCCAACTCATTTCAACAGATATGTTTGAGTGCCTTTTATGTTAAAGGCACTGGGCAGGGCTCTGCAGTGGGCACCAAAGGGGTAAACTCAATTCCTACCCAGGGAACTTACCAACCAGGAAAACAAGACAAATATAAAAACACTCTACAGGAAATGCTAAAAGGAAGCAACTAGTTACTACAGGGTTCAGGGGAAGGAAAAAACATAACCACTTGGAAGGATCCACAAAGGAGGTAGAAATAGACAAGGGTTTTCAAAGGCTGTGACTCTTCACAGAAAGGGATACGAAGGGCTTTCCAGGAAGGAGCAGTACCTTGATCTCTTTGCAACACAATTTCAAATTATCCATTAGAATGACTTATTTTATAGATGTCTACTGTCCTTGACATTATAGTGATTTCATTTAGCTTCTGATCGTTTCCAAATTCTAAAACTTCCTATGCTATTTAGATGACCCTAAAAGTAGACAACCCTAAAAGTGTAATAGTGTCAAGTCAAATATTTGGAGGTAGGGGTGTGTGTGTGCACGCGCATGCACACACGCATGTGAATTTAACCACTCCAAGAGTATTACTGACTCGGCTTTTGCATGTACTGTTCTATCTTCTTGTAACATTCTTCCTTCAGGTCTTCATATACATGTGTCCTTTGTAACCACTCAATTCTGCTGTCACCCCCGGAGCTTTCCCTGACTGCCTGTCACCCAGTTGCTCCCTGTCACACTTCCCCATGTTTTTTTCATAGCTTTTGTCAGCTTCTGAAATTATTTATTTGACTTCTGCCTTTTCCCAAGTGAAGTATAAGCTCCTCAAGGGCAGGGTCTTACCTGTCTTGTTCACTGCCTAGAAGAATGCTTGACACCAGCAGGTGCACAATGCCTGTTTGTTGACTGACATTCTTTTTGTTGTTTTTCTACCTCTTTAATTAATTTAGCATTAATTTTAAGCAAAAAGAGCATTATGAAGCTTGTAAGAATATATTTAGTATTATATTCTTTCTGAATACCACATTCCCTTTCCTAAGCTACAAACTACTACATACCATCTTTCAATTTCATTTATTTGTATTTATAGTTTATGTTCTGGACTGGTAGCTTCTATTCTGGGAACACCAGCCGATGTCATCAAAAGCAGAATAATGAATCAACCACGAGATAAACAAGGAAGGTAGATAAAAAGTCTTCAGTATCCATGTGCTTGAATATCTGTAATACCTTTGTGTTTTAAAGATGCATCTCTGCATTTTTTATTGATAGAAATGTATTTGTGTGTTTTTTGAGAAAATTGAGCGCATTTTTTTTATGCAATTACCTGCTCTTTGATGAAAAAGTGACATGCATTTGGGGAGATAAGCTAATTAACAATCATATTATTTAGACACAAGATTTTTATTATGACTTTATTGTTTTTAAAGAATTGTTAAAAGCATATTCTGCTGAGAATTTACAGAGCACTTTCTTCAGACGCTTATGACTTGAGTAGGTAACGTGGAGAATCTGATTTGATATGAAATAGTATGTTCTCCCTGGAAGAGAAAAGATAGAATGAATTCTAAATATAAGACCAAGGGTGGCATGAATCAGAAGAGTTAACCTTGAAAATATCTTTAAGATCAAAACAAGTTTTCTGTATCTGTAGAACCACAAATATTTTTCTAAACTAGCAGAAATTTTATTTATTTATTTATTTTTTTTGAGACAGAGTCTCACTCTGTCTCTCAGGCTGGAGTGCAGTGGCGTGATCTCCCGCTCACTGCAAGCTCCGCCTCCCAGGTTCAAGCCATCCTCCTGCCTCAGCCTTCTGAGTAGCTGGGACTACAGGCGCCTGCCACCATGCCCGACTAATTTTTTTAGTAGAGATGGGGTTTCACCGTGTTAGCCAGGATGACCTCCATCTCCTGACCTCATGATCTGCCTGCCTCGGCCTCCCAAAGTGCTGGGATTACAGGCGTAAGCCACCGCGCCCGGCCAATATTTAATTTTTATAAGATTCCTTAGACAATTTTTATGTACATATATATTTTTTTACACAGAAAAAAATTAAAAGGATCTTGTTTCCTTTTTAGGGGACTTTTGTATAAATCATCGACTGACTGCTTGATTCAGGCTGTTCAAGGTGAAGGATTCATGAGTCTATATAAAGGCTTTTTACCATCTTGGCTGAGAATGGTAAAGTTAGGTTTACTTCCTTTGTTTTTTTTCTTTGTACTTAAATTACTTTTAATTTATAAGCATTTTCCCTTTTCTCTTCTGGTTTGAAGCATGGCCCTGCCCCCCAAATCAAGGTCCTTTCTTTCTTTTTTAAATCTTCTTTTATTTCCTTTCACTTCTCCTCAGAGTTATCTTGCCTTCTGTGGTAGAGTAAGGTAAAATAAGTTACATCCATTGACGAATAAGTTGATAGTCTTGTTATAAAGCCAGTAAATAGATTTTCTGTAATGTAAAATTTTTAGTATTTCATTTAGTCATATTTTAATACAATATTTTAGAATATATATACAGATTTTACACTAGAGACCTCTCCTACAAAAAAAAATACTGTTTCAAAAAAATTTGTTACTTTGATAGCAGATGTTACATTACCCATTAATATTTATTACCACAAAACTCTGCTTAGTAAGAAAATATTATGTCATTTTTATTTGGTTTAGATGTTATTTTTCATTGCAGTGAATTAAGATATAGAATTAGATAGACTTGTTTAAGCAATATAGCAAATAAAATATAGAATTCTAATTCTATAATGTAGAATTAGATAGACTTGTTTAAGTAATATAGCAAATATAATAAAAACAAAGTGCTGACGTTTTTTGTAAGTTAAAACATTTGAAAGAATAGGTGAGTTATAGGTTTAGAAATTCAAGCAATCAAAAATTAACACAATATATTATAATACAATTATATATAATGTAATATTATATGTATCTTTTTAATTGAGTACCTACATCATGCAAAGCCCTATACTGAGGACTCAGCTTTGAATAAGAAACTATAAGTGATAAATGTTATGGGAAGAGTGCATAATGCTATGGAAATATATAGCAAATAAGCACAGCCTAAGCTGGCAATTGAGTAAACCTCCCTGGAGAATGGACTTCTGAATTTAGATTTGCAAAATGAGTATGACTTAGCCAGGAAAGAGGGCAGGAAAAAAAACATTCTCTATAGAGGGACAGTTGGAGTGGACAGAGAGCAGGGTGAGTTCAAGGAAACCTAGCAGACCAAGCTACAGAGACCTCATGGAGAGAGTCAAGGGGTGAGACCACAGAGAGGCAGACACCACACTAGGAAGGACCATATGAGCCAGAAGAGTAATGGGCACCAGTTTGAAGAAATATGCATTTTTAGAAAATTTGTTCTGCCTGTCGTGTGGATTGGGAAAAGGCCAGGAGTAGTGATATATGAGAGATAATGGTGGCTTGGACAAGAGTATGACAGTGGGAATAGAAGATGGATTAAAAACATGTTTAGGAGGTAGAAAGGGAATAGAAACATGACTGATTGGATGGGGATGGGAGAATGGTTGGAGAAGATAAGGAAAAGTCAGACTTCATTCCCAGATTCCTGCTCTGAGCAACTGAGGATGATGATGTAATTTCCTAAAACGGGGATCATCTGCAGGGAAGATTTGGGGATAAAATAAGGTTAGTTTAAGACCTATGAAATTTTGGATACCCATAGGACATCCAAGCAGAGATGTCTAGATGACAAACTGAATATATTGGTCTATGTCTTAGGAGAGAATACAGGGATGGAGGTTTAGATTTGAGCATTTTCCACATATAGATGGTAATTGAAATGTTGATAATAAATGATATCATCAAGGAATAGTAGGTATTTGTGTATTAACATGAAAGTAATAGCCAAAGCCCTTGGCAATACCTGATAAAAGTATACCAGAGTTTGAGATGTTATTTTGGTGGTTTTGATTATACCTTGAAATTATGTCAAAACTGTGGTTGTTTCTTACTGGAAAGGTAAATTTTGATTTGGCCTGCATAAACCAGGCACTGTTATAAGTGCTGGTAACACTGAGGAATAACATAGTCTTTGCACTGGAGGAGCTTACAATGAGATGTAGAAGTTAAACATGTAAGTAGTTAAAATTACAGAAATAATAAAAATTACTAAATAAATACTACTGAATCACTTGGTATATGGCCAACACTGTGCTAATCATTTTCATGACTTAACTCGTTGAATTTCCCCAACAATCTGTGCAGCAGGTTACTATCATATCCCTCTTTTATAGAGAAGGAAACAAAAAGCATCAAAAGTCTAAATAGCTTGGCCAGGTGAGTGGTTCAGGGCATCAAACCCAGGTGGCCTGACACCCAATAACACAGCCTTATTAAGGAGGTTGTATTCTTGCTTTACCAGTGGTATGAACAGTACTCTGTGGGAACACAGATAGTGGAGTGGAAATGGCTATGACCATATTTGGGAAGTCGCAAGAGGCTTCACAGAGCTGATATTTGATCTGGGCTTTGAGGCATCAATAGGCGTTTGTCAAGAGAAATATAAAGGTGCAACATGAGCATAGGCATCATGTCATGTGTAGGCCTGTTATCTTTGAAGAACTACAGAAAATTCAGTCTGGTTGAAGAATAGGTCCTCATAGGGGAGGTGGTAGGAGATAAGGCTAGAGAAGTACTTAAGGACCAAGTTGGGAAGAACCTTGTGGGCCAAGCCTAGTAGTTTAGATGAACTCTATGGAGCACTTGCTTAAGCCCGGGAACAATGTGCTAAGGTTTGTTTGACAGCAAGATTACTTTGGAAGTCGTATAGTAGATGCATTGAAAGCTAGGATGTAAGAAAGGAAGTTCTAGCAATGATCTAACCAGTTAGATGACTGTAGAAATGGAGAGGAGATAAATTTTAGGGACATTTATGGTTAACTCCATAGGACTTAGTAACTGATTATATGTAGAAGGTGAGGGACAGAAAAAAGCAAATGGGACTTCCTGTGTTTCTAATTCTAATGCAGGAAACTAGGAGGATGAGTGAGACCATTGCAGAAACACAAACTCAGGGTC
Organism: Homo sapiens; assembly: GCF_000001405.40. Taxonomy (NCBI): domain Eukaryota; kingdom Metazoa; phylum Chordata; class Mammalia; order Primates; family Hominidae; genus Homo; species Homo sapiens. The sequence continues at coordinate 46,674,096 of NC_000006.12, forward strand.
AGGAGGGATGAGGGGCAAGTAGAATATTTAAGTACAAAGGATGGGACCACTTTGTTTAATCCTTTGTCTTTATACATATGACTCAGGAAGTATAAATAAGGAAAAAAAGAGTACTTAATACGTGCAAAGCTCTACATACATTACTTTTTAAAACTGTATAAGAACCTAGCAAAACAAGCAGTATTATCCTCATTTTTCAGATAAGAAAATCATGGCTCAGAGTATAAGAAGCTTGCCCAAGTTCATGTAGCTAGTATGTGGCAGAGCTGGGAACTGACCTCAGATCTGTTCCACTCAAAACCCTACGCTCCTTACTGATACAATATACTGATTTGCTCAACATCCTGCAGCTAGCTACAGAAGTTTTAAAATTGAAGAGACATTCCTAGCAGTGGAGGGGTATTTAAAGAAAGGCTGGCTAACCACCAAAGATCACCAGAAAGTCACTGCCTGGTTGACTTGCCACAGTGCATGACCCAGAGCACAGAAACCTAATTCATGAGCATTTCCAAGTAAATTGGCCTTGAAAATACAGATTCGACTCAGCTGATCTCATTGACACTGATGATCAGGCCACAATAGTTGGCTCATTCACACTGCACAACACATTTGGCAAGTGATCTGGATGTTCAAGTCCTCTGGCCAATGTGTTTTTTCCTAAATTCAAGCTATATGGGTACTCAAGTAATAATTAGAAGGTTACTTTCTTAACACAGATTCAAAACAGGAAGAGCTTATTTGTAAACTTAATCAACCCAAGAGAGCTCTTATATGTTCAACTCCACAGTAGCAGGCATGAAAAGGGACCCTGCTTCTGGTTTTTCTCTAGCCTTATGGCAAAAGATAGACCAAAAGAAACAATATGGGTTCATATACACTGGATTATTTGCAATGCTCATAGCTGTATCAGCGAGAAAATCAGCAAGCAAACATAGTGCCCACATGTGCTACTCCTGTACAGAGGCTTGGTAAATCCCATTTATATACCACCCACATTTTTGGCTATATGATCTCCCACTCTTTAAAAACTCTATTCAAAATCTAGCTAAACTCTATCCTGATCCCTTCTACTGGGTAGAGGTACTATGACCTTGCTTTGCTCAGTCCCTGGTTAGTACTTATTTCATTTGCCTATGGATTTTGTTGCTATAATGTCATTAACATGAAGAAGATTGATTACCACAGCAATTAAGAATGATTGCATAGGGGTTCTTAACTAAGACCTCTACCTTCTTCATCCAACTCCAAGTATATTGGTTTACTTCATTTTTATTACAAGAATATGGTATCATCGTAGCTTTATATTCCTTATTTCATCTATGTCATCATACCTTTAAATAACCAAGATATATTCTCCTAAATCCACTATTTAGTGAATTCTCAGTTTACTAATATAGCATGCTCAGTATTTCCAAACAAATATGAGATAAACCTTGCTTTACAAACAAAACCAAATACATTTGATTTTCTAATTGCTTAAGCTTATTTATCTACTCTAGAATGATAGAGCTACTCTCTGTTCAATTTTGATTAGAACTGAATTAGGCAGGAATTATTAGATCCAAGGCACTCTTTCTCTGTTCCAGTGTTTACCCTGTGATTTCCCTCTGTGTCTTTACAGTTTACATCTTTAGCATTTATGTCCTCTTCTAACCCTTATTCTTTTATAATTCCTTTAGATGTAGCCATACCTTCATTCAAGTTAAAGACAAGCCTTTCTGAACTGGAAGGGCTTTTTTCTATTTAATGTGAATTTTTATATAAATGTTGTGAGACATCAGGTGTTGGTTTTATGACCTAAATCTCCATGGATAATCTTTCACCTTCCTCACTTTCAAGTTCTAAAGTGACTTATTTTTATGCTCCATATACAAACTAGATATAGAAAAGCCTGCCTAGAATTCAGGCATCTTGAGTCCCAGCCCTTTAGCCAGTAATGGTTCAATAAAAAGAACTCTGAGAATGGAAAACAGAAGCCTGTGGTCTAGCTCTACAACATGTCAACAGGCATTTGACTGCTAAGCTTCAGTGGTCTCATCTGAAAATCAGGGATATTAATATCTTTCCTTTCTATTGTAAGATGTTGTTTAGAGAAATCTGTGATATATAAGACATAAAAAATGCTTTGTAAATTATAAAGTCCTTTACAAAGGTGAAATACCAAAATATTTGTTTTCAGCCTAAGTGGTTGCAAAATGACTTTGTCATTCAAATATATGTATGCACATATGTAGACTATTTATAATTGCTTTGAAATATGCACTAACTTCTTTGGTTAATCTTTCAGACCCCTTGGTCAATGGTGTTCTGGCTTACTTATGAAAAAATCAGAGAGATGAGTGGAGTCAGTCCATTTTAAACCCCTAAAGATGCAACCCTTAAAGATACAGTGTTCAGTATTATTGAAATATGGGCATCTGCAACACATACCCCCTATTATTTCTACCTCTTTAGGAAGACACCTATTCCACAGAGACTGATTTATAGGGGGCAGCACTTTATTTTTTTCTGGAAACCCAAGTTCTCTTTGACTCCTCTTTTTGTCCAAAAGTGATCTGGTCGGATCTCACAAGGCCATCCAATGAGACCCCGCACAGCATTTTCTAAAGAAGAATCGAAGCCTGACCACTTTCACCTTGGGCAAGAAGGTTTGGCCTTTGAGTTGCTATTCTATGCTGAAGAGCCTGCTTAGAGGAGGAGTACCAGGAGGGAGCCAGCATTTCAGATCTGAAGTAGACGATAGGAATGTGGAAGAACACATACATAGTGCTTAAGAAATACATTTAACCTGTTATGTCAGTATTTATCAATGAAGTTTGATAATTCACTTTTCTGTCATTGTTAAAGCGTACATACTGTAAATTAAAGGGAGGTGAATGGAAATTAATGAATAAACATTTTGAGTTTCCCTAGTGTTGAAGGAAGGTGTACTTTTTCTTGTCAGAAAGATAAAAAAAATCAAGTTGAGATGATGTTTGAATTTCAAGAAAAGAGGCTGCTTTCTGTCAGTGCCCTCTCATTAGATCTGTGTTAATTAGTTAGCACTCCACTGCACATGCTAATGACTTCCTCTGACAGCCACACACCGAATCTTGATGAAAAAAGAGAAGAGCATTTGCCTTGTTACATAGTCTGTTACAAGCCAGATATGTTGCTAGCTCTCAAGAGTTGTAATATATTAAGAACTACAACTTATTTGATTAAAACTCAGCTGTATAGATCCTTTTATAAAGCACCTTTTGTTAAACATCAGCCTTTCATTGGTATTTTAAAAGCAAGGCAGATAGATATGAAGTCAGCCAACTCTGACATGCGTCCTTTCTTATCTCCCTTACCTGACACTAGGGGCTCTAGAGAGGCAGAGAGAGCACTCACAAATCACACTAAAACTGCCAGCGGCCTGACTCTTACTCAGTTTAGCAAAAATTCTTGCCTAAAAAGTGATAAGTAAAAATCTGTTTATGGTATACAGTTATGTCTCGAATCTTTGAATCAAATCCATGTTCTTATTTTAGAAAGGTAAGAGTTCTTCAAATTCAGCTACATACCACCGGCTCTCCCAACCTCAGACGGTGGGCATTTCTGGATGGATGGCTGCGGTTATGGATAAAGGCTGTAACTGTTAACACAGAAAAACATGAAAAGCTCAGGCCCAAGAAAGGCCTTGGAGCCAGCCAAACAGAATTTGTTCTAATGGACATGGATGATGTTGAACAGAAAAAAGTTTACAAGTGCTTTGTGGTTGCACTAATGTATACTCACTGCCATTTTAAGAGGGGGAAGTACATTTTAAAATATATTTGAATGTCATGTACTGATATGCAGTAGCTTATTGTTTTTCTAGTTGCAGAGAATGTGAAGTTTAATCTCTTAAAATATTTAGATGGTCTACTTTTTCATTGAATTTGTCAATATGTAATTGCGTTGTAAAATATTATATATATATATATATATATATATATATATATATGCTTAACTTCCCAAGTGTTCTGCATTGAACCACTTAGGGAAAATTTTGTTTGTTTTTATGTTTTGTAATTTTTAAAATTAAGTAAAGACTGGATCAAAATAATTGCATCCAACCTGGACCGTGAACAATTGATTTAGCTTTATTCTTTGTGGGGTCGGGGAGTTGGGATGAAAACACTGCTTACGCACTGACATCATTCCTTGGGATCTGGATCAACACGAATTTCAGGAACTTTTAACCTGAAATGACTCCTTGGGATTATCTAATTTAACCTTCCCATTTCACATGTTAGTAAACTGAGATTCAGAGAAGTAGAGTTGTTTATGCTCATGAGTGACTTAGTAGCAGAGCCAGGATAAAAACACAGTTCTCCTAATATGATTATTATGACTGAGAGTTATTGTTCACTAATTAGGTACCAAGGAAGGGTCTTATGTCATGGTCACAACCCAGTAGAGTCTTCTAAAAACAGATTTTTCCTTATGGCATTTTTATGTCTCATACATTTTAGATGAATCTGAATTGTCTCTAGCATACATTTTAGAATGGAGTCACCATGCTTTAGCTTGAACATGAAGACCTTCTATAACCTAACCAAATCCAGTATACCCAATACTTATCCAATCACATTCATAATTTTCTGGTGAAATCATATCTACTGATTATTTTGGAACATTGCTTATTTTTGCCAACTTGGAATCATCTTGTTTTCCAAAATAATCCTCAGTAAATAAAAAGGATTAAAAATTTCAGTAATTTTTGTGTCCATACTCACAGACTTAAGAATTCCAAACTCACTTACTTATAGTACTACTCTATGTGGTATTTCTCTATTTTTTCTCCTCTCAAATGATTTTTTTCTTACTGAAAATGCATATACTTATTTTTAATTATGTAGTTTTTTATATGTATAAATGAATTAGTATATATAATTATAGACTAAATTTGCCATATATGATATAAATTATATATGAATTAATTTATATATAATTAAAGGGATAACATTTATTAAGTTTGCTTTCAATATGGAATAACATGTCTTTTTCAAGTGCTCCCAATACTATTTGATTGTAAGCTACTAGTGGGTAGGTATACATCTTCCATTTTTATATAAATCTCTGCTCTCTTTAGTAGCATTTCTTTGCTATTAAGAAAAAATGATTACAGCTACGTATAACATGAATCAATTAATTTTATCTTTATTGTTTTAAGAATCTGTGACTGGCCAGGCATGGTTGCTCATGCCTGTAATCCCAGCATTTCGGGAGACCGAGGTGGGCGGATCACGAAGTCAGGAGATCGAGACCATCCTGGCTAACATGATGAAACCCGTCTCTACTAAAAATACAAAAAATTAGCGGGGCGTGGTGGCGGGCGCCTGTAGTCCCAGCTACTAGGGAGGCTGAGGCAGGAGAATGGCGTGAACCCAGGAGGCGGAGCTTGCAGTGAGCCGAGATCATGCCACTGCACTCCAGCCTGGGTGACAGAGTGAGACTCCATCTCAAAAAAAAAAAAAAAAAGAATCTGTGACTATCATATGAGTCTGCAATTTCTCTTTTACTTTGCTAATAAAAAAATAAAAATTCAGGACAATATAAATATGAAAGGATTTGTTATTCAGTCATCTTCAAATTTTCAAGCACATTTATTTACAGTTGTTATAATTACATATATTTTTTCTATTAATGAAAACAAATTCCTTCAGGACTTTCCTAGAAAAAATGGTCAATTTTAATACTTGATGGTTAAAACAATTTCTTTGGAAAGGAAAATAAGTAATTCTTTTCTTCCCAATTAAACTGAGACTCTTTAAAGATGACTACCCAGCAAATATATATTATTATTGAATGTCAGATAATGTGGAAGAAAGACTGAACCCAGAATCTAAAGATCTTTATCCTATTTTGGGTTCTACTTCTGACAGAAGAGTATAACTAGGATCAAGTCCCTCCACTTCTCTGAATTCCCATTTCCTTAAAAGCTGAAGTGGGACGGGCGCGGTGGCTCACGCTTGTAATCCCAGCACTTTGGTAGGCCAAGGCGGGCGGACTGCCTGAGCTCAGGAGTTCAAGACCAGCCTGGGCAACACAGTGAAACCCTCGTCTCTACTAAAATACAAAAAATTAGCATGCGCCTGTAGTCGCAGCTACTCGGGAGGCTCAGACAGGAGAATTGTTTGAACCCAGGAGGCAGAGGTTGCAGTGAACTGAGATCACACCACTGCACTCCAGCCTGGGCAACGGAGGGAGACTCTGTCCGTGAAAGAAAAAAAAAAAAAGAAAAGCTGAAGTGATTGAACTCTAGAATCTTAACCTGTGTATACCTAAAGGGAGCCATATTGATGTGATGTTTAAAAAAATAGAATTTTAAAAATGTCATTAGGATTCTTTATGCTTGGGTTTATATTCTCATATTTCAAGATGGGGAAAAATTATTCAGACCTTAAAGTACAATACAGACTTCTGACGTGTCTGGACTGTCACCCTGAAATCCATTCTTCACAGGGAAGCACAGTCGTCTTCCATGGGGCAACTTTGGGCATATTCTCACCTTCAATTTCTCCTATATACACACATACTAAAAATTAAAACCTTTAATGCTATATCCAAGACCCTCTCAACCTGACTCCAGCCCATTTTTCTCACTTTTACCTTTCACTGCATACCTGTACCCTACCTCCTTGGAAATGCATTGCTCTAATTATTTCCCTGGAGATGCACTATACTTGCTGCTTTTCTATGTAGTTTATTCTGTTCCCTCCATCTACCTTTCTTCCCACCACCACCACCTATTCATCTTTATTTGTATTGGTTAAATTCTACCTCAGTTATCTAAAATAATCACCTACTATTTCCTCTCTGAAGCCTTCAGTATCTTCAGTACCCCCTTTCTCCCACTGCTTCCCCTACTACATAGATGTACATATCAGCGTCCCCTACACAAAATGTATTGCTTGAAAGCAAGGACCATGTAACACATCTTTGTATCCCTTACAAACTTCAAATAGGAGCCACTCTGAAGGTATCTGTTGAATTGAGAGGGTTTTTTGGAGAGTGGGGAGAAAGACATTTATACACATGATTAAATCATTTTGTTCTCTTCTTCAGAATAATTATGTTGGGTCAATAACACTTCTGATTTTATGAAATTTTTTACCATATTAAATGCTTAATTATGTTTTTAAATGATCATGTGTGTTTAAAACATGTCATAATTTTAAGGATCATCTTCATCTGTTTAATAGCTATTCCATAAAATTGAGAATTTGATAGTTTTAAATAATATATAATTGACTAACAGTTAATAAATATGTGATTTTAAAGCATGTATGGAAATTATATCACTATTTGGCCTTCATTGATGCCATATACATGAACATTTTACCCACTCAAGTGTTTTATTATTTCTGAATTTTGAGGAATACATTACTTTCTTCTCTCCCCATACTTTACCCCCAACAGGCTGCTGTGATTGTCAACAGCAGCAGGAGCCAGTTGAAGGTTTGATAAAAGCAGATGAAGATGCTTAAAGATGTCTGTTTGCTGAAAATATCTGGTAACAAACAGGAATATATGTGAGTAAATAAACTGTGTTATTCTGATTTTAAAAGTAAATATTTTAAAGTGCCTAATTGCTTGTTATCACGGGTTTTGTTTTGTCCTGATATAGTTCTGAGTTAAGAAGGTAATAACAAGGAAGGAAATACATGCTACAGCATGGATGAACCTTAAAAACATTATGCTGAGTGAAATAAGCCAGGCAAAAGTGAATACATACATGATTCTACTTGAGGTACTAGAATAATGAAAATTCATAAAGACAGTTTCGAATAGTGGGGAGGGAATGAGGAGTTGTTTAGTGTGTACAGTTTCAGTTTGGGATGATGAAAAAAATCTGGAAATGGATAGTGGTAATGGTTGTACAACAATGTGAATATATTTAATGCCACTGAGCTCTACACTTTAAAATGGTTTCAATGGTAAGTTTTGTTTTACGTATATTTTACCACAATAAACAGAAAATTTAAAAATCCATGTACGTAGATGTGAAAAATATTAGCAAATTGAATCCAGCATCATATAAAGTATAATACATCATGACTAAGTGAGACTTATCCTGGGAATACAAAATTGGTTCAACATCCTAAAAAATCAATATAATTCATCCAATTAACAGAACAAAACAAAACATATATCAACAGAATGTGAAAAAGTATTTGATAAAATTCAACAGTATTTGATGTAAAAATTCTCAAATTTTTACATGAGTAAAAAAGAAACTTCCTCATCTTGATAAAAAGGATCTAAGTAAAACCTGTAGCTAACATCGTATTTGTGAAAGACTTTCTCCTTAAATCAGGAACAAGGCAATATCAATTCTTACCATTTTATTCTAATCTGTACTGAAGGTCTTAGCCATTGCAGTAAAGCAAGAAAAGGAAATAAAAGGCACATATATTAGAAAAGAAGACATGGAACTGCCTTTATTCACAGATGATATAATTACATATATAAAAAAAATCCCAAGGAATCTACCAAAAGCTACAAGAATTAATAATGAAGTCCTAGCAAATTCACAAGATATAAGGCCAATATACAAAAATATATTTTGGTATACTGGCAATGAAAAACTAGGGACTAAAATATTTAAAAATTAATATTATTTACAATAGCATAAAAACATTAAAAACTTAGGGATAAATCTAACAAATGTGTACAAGATTTGTTCACTGAAAAATATAAAACATTACTGAGAGAAATTAAAGATTTTAGTAGAGCAATGAACTGTGTCCATGGATTAAAAGACTCAGTATTGCTCCAAAGTTAATTATTGTCAAATTGATCTCTACCTACAAAGCAATTCTAATAAAACCCCAGCAGCCTTCAAATTTTTTTGCAGAAGTTGACAAGTATATTCTAAAATACATATAGAAAATCAAAAACAATTTTGAGGGAAAAGAACAAAGAGGATTCATATTACTTAATTTTAAAATTGGCTTTTAAGCAGTTTAGAAAACAATCAAAACAAAGGGGTATTGGCACAAAGACAGATATATAGATTGATGGAACAGAATAAAGGGTCAAAGAATAAACTCACATACATATGGTCAATTAATTTTTGGCAAAAGCACCAAGATAACTTAACTGGAAAGTATAGTCTTTGCAACAAATGGCAGTATAACAATTGGATATCCATATATAAAAATAAAATCCTCAACCCTTACCTCACTACAAAAAGTTAATTTAAAATGAATCATAGACCTAAATACAAGAGCCAAAATTATAAAACTTCTAAACAAAAACATTGAAAGTTTGTTTTGTGGGTTTTTGTTTTGTTTTTTTACCTTGGGTTAGTAAAAGATTTAGTGGAACAATAACAACAAAATAAACTACCATTTAGAAAAGAAAAATATGTGAATAATTTGATTTCATCAAAATTACAAATTTTCTTCAAAAGACACTATTTAAGGGAATAAAACTGTAAACATTTGTCAAAATATCAAACTACAATATGAAAGTGTGAGTTTTACTGTACAAAAATTATGCCTAAATAGACCAAATTTTTAAAAAACCTAATTTAAGATTTTTAATCTTTAAGAATCCTAGGAGAGAACATATTTTTTAAGTTTTAATTTCATTCATATCACTAATAACTACAACTTATTACATGTTTCCTGTGGTGGGTCTTTTACCCATATTGGCTCATTTCGTCTTCATATTTAAGTATAGTTCCATTTTTATAGATGAAGAGAACCTAACTCTGAAAATTTTATTATCCATGTCACCCTGAGATGATAAACATGGACTTTCAAAATCTAAAGCCCTTCCTTTCCCACTATGTTTTGCTGCATCTCAAGTATTTATTTAATGCAAACATGTTAACTGTATTTACATTAATTCATGCAGTCCTTGGAACCAAAGTGTAAGGTGTATGCCGTTATATCCATTTTCAGATATGGAAACAGAGGGTAAATTATTTGCCTGGGTCACATGGCTCTTACAAATGGAGGCCAATCCTGCTGTAATTCAAAAGACTATGCTCTCTCTACTCTCATTGCCCCCTATAATGATCTGGTCTTGAATTGTCTGTGTGTGTATTCTAATAAAATTGTATTTTGTGACACTGAAATCTTAAATTTTTAAAAGCTTTTTATTTTGAAATAATTTTAGATTTTCATAAAGTTTCCAAAGAAAAACGTATAGGGATATACCATGACTGTTGTACACAATCAAAACCAGGAGCAAATTGACATTGGTACAATCCACAGATTCCAAAGTCACTAATTTATAAGCACACATTTGTGTGTGTGTGTGTGTGTGTGTGTGTGTCATTCCATGCAATTTCATCACCTTTGTGTAGCTTTGATAACTATCACTGCACACAAGATACAGAACAGTTCATCAGTCCATGCCTGATGCTATCCCTTTATAGGCATTTTCAACCCTTTTCTTCCCCATCCCTAACTCCTGGAAGCCACTAATCTTTTCTCCATCTCTATAATTTTATTAATCTAAGAATATTATGTAAATAGAATGCAGTATGTAACCTTTTACTATTTTTTTTTCACTCAGTAAAATTCTACGGAGAACCTTCCTAAGTTGTTGCTCACATCAATAATTCATTTTCCTTGTTATTGCTGTGTAGGACCCTTTGGTATTGATGTACCACAGTTTGTTTAACCATTTACCCATCGAAGGGCATTTAGGTTGTTTCCAGTTTTGGGTTCCAGGTTTTTGCATGAGCATGTTTCCTTTCTTTGGGATAAATGCCTAAATGCAATTTTTCAGTCATATGGCAAGTACATAGTTTTTAAAATGTGGCTGTACCATTTTACATTCTTACCAGCAACATAAGTGATGCAGTTTATTCACATTCTTGCCAGTACTGGTGTTATCACGATTTTTTAGCTTAGTCATTACCATGGCATGTGGTGATATAACATTGTGGGTTTTTTTTTTTTTTTGTCTAATAGCTAATGATGTTGAAAATCTTTTCATATTCTTCTTTGTCATCTGTACATCCTCCTCCGTGAAATGCCACTTCATATCTTTTGCCTATTTTCAAATTTATTTTTTTTACTATTGAGTTTCGAGAGTCGTTTATCTATTATAGATACAAGTCCTATGTCAGACGTGTGGTTTGCAAATATTTTCTCCCTGTCTGTAGCTTGTCTTTTTCATTCTCCTAACAGGGTATTTCTTACTTGAACTGTTTTCTAAAAATATCCAGTAAATGTTAATTTTTCTAAGCAACTTTAAACAAAGTCAATTAGTAGTATAGAAACTATAGACTGTAAAGTATACTGCATTTCTGCTTAGAGTTCTCTATACACAGAGGCCTAAGACAGCACAAAATAAGTATGATTTATTTAGCCCAATTTTCCTGCATCGTTTCCATAAAAAATATTGAAGTGGCTCATAATATTAGTATTCAAACACCTGTCATACACATTCCATCCCTGGCCTTAACCTTTCCCCCTTTATCCCTTACGTATTTGTATTAGGATAAGAATATCCTCTCTCCCAAACTTCACATACCGGGGCCTGTCAAGGGGTGGAAGGATAGGGGAGGGATAGCATTAGGAGAAATACCTAATGTAGATGATGGGTTGATGGGTGCAGCAAACCACCATGGCATGTGTATACCTATGTAACAAATCTGCACGTTCTGTACATAATGTCCCAGAACTTAAAGTACAATAATAATAAAAAAAAAATCCCCTCTCCCTTCTTTTCCGAAACCAAGGGCCTCTCAAGACTAATGGGAGGAAAGTTTATTTATTATAAAACTCAAGATATTTTGTTTAATATAGTATGGGAGATATATGAGGGGAGCTTAATCTTAACAGTGCAATGACCTGATTTTTAAAATTAACCCGAGTCCCTGTCCAACAGCAGAGCATGACAGAACAAACTAATGCTACCTGCTCCAGATACAGAAAAGGTAGGACATTGGAAAATCTGGGTGGATGGGGGTAAAGGATTCAGATCAGCCCATAACGGCCACGTGATATACCCTGACGTCCTAGGATTAAGGCCATGAGCCATGGAAGGAGGTTGGAGGACAAATGAAATACAGAAAGTCATAATATCTACAACCCTGTGGTCTACAAAGGAGTTTGGTTATACTACATGAACCTGAAATAGATGATGGATTAAAGTCTCCATTATTCCATGTAATGATAAAACAATTTCAAGTGATCATAAGACCATTTTATAATGAATTCCTTCTTTCCACTGTAAAGGCCATAGTGTTAGATTGCTTACTCTTGTTAAGATTTACTGGATGCTAACAGTCCAGCACTGGCTAGGCATCGAGAACATAAAAATAAATGAGAAGTGTTCCTGCTTTTAAGATGTTCCTACTGTGGCAAACAGAGAGCTACAAAATATAATAATATAGAAGTATGTAAAAAAAAAAAAAAAAAGGAATAACCAATTCTGCCAGGTTGAATAGTAGGGTCACGAGGAAACGACGTTTGAGCTAGGTCTTGCTAGATGTTTTTAAATAAAATGTTTTTCTTCCATAATGAATATGAAACAATTAGAAAAAAAATGGGAAAATTGAGTTTTCAAGGATGAGTTCTTCAGGAAAAGAAAAGCTTTGGCTTTTAGAGAAATTGGATTCATTCATTCATTCATTCATATTCATTTAGCAAATATTCATTGCCTTCACTCCAAGCTAGATTCCGAGAATCCAACAAACGGTACTTGCCAAAGGGAACCTGTCGGCTGGTGGGATGATAGAGATCAGACAGTTGCCACACAATGTGAAAAGTGCCGTGAAAAAGTAAGCATAGGGTGATGTGGAAGCACATGGTTGCCTCTAATCTGGACAGACTGAAGACACTGAGATTTACAGTTAGGCCAGGGTCATTTGAAGCACTGCCTTGTTGTATTTGTATGTAATGACATTTCGAAACGTGGAATGAAAGGAAAAGTACAGGCAGACTATAAGAAGCTTCCACGGATGTGTCTAACTTTGCAAATGAACAAAAATCTAATGTAGACATATCCTGGAAACTTCTAGTTTGCCTGCACTTTTCCATTCCAAATGGAGGTTTGGACATTTAACAGAGGCCTCAAAGGGTTATCCTGTTAAGATTTTAGTATATACAGCAGGGGCTTGAAGGAATGTTGATTCCATTCCTCTTGGCCTCCTTTTATGAATCCAGTTCTGTGCTAGCTCTGTGAGTAAATGAAAATGCCTTCAAAATTGGGATGCCAGAGTTAGACAGCAAAGGAGCAAAGGAACCCGTATCAGCTAAGTGTGGGAAGGGAAATATGTACCAGTTGCTATATACTTTCACACGTTATTTTAACCTCATAACAACTCTTATCAATTCAGATGATGGAACAGGGTTAAAGAATAGAGGCTGAGCACCTGGCTGTCCACGGACACACTGAGCCAGCAGGAGCACCCGTGCCCCGCAGCAGCACCCAGGGCCCTCCTAGAGTTCCGGCCTTAACGCCTAGGAACGTGCCATTGGCTCCTGCGTTTCTCGTTCCCGTCGGGAACGCCACTGGCTAGTACCTTGCCTGGCCCCCAGTGCTCAATCCCTGGTAGTTGGGAGGACGAAAAGGAAATCCCTCTCTGGTCGGTCCTCACCGCAGCCCTGTGTCAGGCCGTCACACGGCGGCCTCCAGAGTCGAAGGCGCTCTGAGGAGATGCAGGTTGTGTCCAAAACCTCCCACCTCGGGGTCTCCTGAACGTCCCAACAAGCTCCTTGGGCCCTTAGGCGTTAGGCCAACCCCAGGCCTCGGCTGGCCCCGCCCACTCTCCGCGGCCGGAAGTGGCGGCGCCGAGTGAGGTAAATGCGTGCCCGGAAGCGCGACCTCGGGCGGTTGGAGGGGCTACCGGGTCTTACCAGTCCGTGGCGGGAGTCCCGGAGGACCCTCGACGGGGGAGTTGCCGAGAAAAGGCCTCGCCGGCATTCTTCCCCTCCACTGGGTCCTTTGAACCTAGTTTGGCTGGGACTCGCCTTCAGGCGGCGCGGAGGATTTCGAGGCCCTGAGGCGCGGCCCTTAATTTCCGGAAGTGGGGGCCGCGCCGCGCCGTCAAGATGTGCTCGACGCCCGGAATGCCGGCGCCGGGGGCCTCGCTGGCCCTGCGGGTGTCCTTCGTGGACGTGCATCCCGATGTGATCCCGGTGCAGCTGTGGGGGCTGGTGGGCGAGCGGCGGGGCGAGTACCTGCGGCTGAGCCGGGAAATCCAGGAAGCGGCGGCCACGCGCGGCCAGTGGGCGCTGGGCAGCGCCTCGGCCTCGCCCGGCGAGCTGTGCCTGGTGCAGGTCGGGCTTTTGTGGCACCGCTGCCGCGTGGTCAGCCGGCAGGCACAGGAGAGCCGTGTCTTCCTGCTGGACGAGGGCCGCACCATCACGGCCGGAGCAGGCTCGCTGGCGCCTGGGCGCAGAGAGTTCTTCAATTTGCCCTCGGAAGTGCTGGGCTGCGTGCTAGCGGGCCTGGTGCCGGCAGGCTGCGGCGCGGGCTCAGGCGAGCCGCCGCAGCACTGGCCCGCCGACGCCGTGGACTTCCTTAGCAACCTTCAGGGCAAGGAGGTGCACGGGTGCGTCCTGGACGTGCTGCTGCTCCATCGCCTGGTCCTCCTGGAGGTGCCTGATGTGTTCCAACAGATGCGGGAGCTGGGCCTGGCTCGGCGGGTGCCCGACAGCCTCTTCCGTTCGCTGCTGGAGCGCTATCTCACAGCGGCCACTGCTAGCGTGGGCTCCGGGGTCCCGGTTCTCTCGCGAGTCCCGCTCAAGCAAAAGCAGCCTGGTCTGGATTACTTCTATCCCCAGCTGCAGCTGGGCGTGACGGAGGCCGTGGTCATAACCCAAGTGTGCCATCCCCACCGCATTCACTGCCAGCTCCGCAGCGTCTCGCAGGAGATCCACCGCCTCTCCGAGAGCATGGCCCAGGTATACCGGGGTTCCACGGGGACAGGGGATGAGAACTCTACCAGTGCCACCTGGGAGGAGAGGGAGGAGAGCCCAGATAAGCCGGGCTCTCCGTGTGCATCCTGTGGCCTGGATGGACATTGGTACAGAGCACTGTTGCTTGAGACTTTTCGGCCCCAGCGCTGTGCCCAGGTGCTTCATGTGGACTATGGAAGGAAGGAGTTAGTGAGTTGCAGCAGCCTTCGGTACTTGCTGCCTGAATATTTTCGAATGCCGGTGGTGACCTACCCTTGTGCTTTGTATGGACTCTGGGACGGTGGGAGAGGCTGGTCTCGGTCACAGGTCGGTGACCTGAAGACACTGATACTAGGCAAGGCAGTGAATGCAAAGATTGAATTTTATTGCTCCTTTGAGCATGTGTATTATGTCAGCCTGTATGGAGAAGATGGGATTAATCTGAACCGTGTGTTTGGAGTACAGTCGTGTTGCTTGGCTGACCGAGTCCTTCAGAGCCAGGCAACAGAGGAGGAGGAACCAGAAACATCTCAGTCTCAGTCTCCTGCTGAAGAAGTAGATGAAGAGATTTCACTCCCAGCCTTAAGATCTATCAGGTTAAAGATGAATGCCTTCTACGATGCGCAGGTAGAGTTTGTTAAAAATCCTTCTGAGTTTTGGATTAGGTTGAGGAAACACAATGTCACCTTCAGTAAGCTGATGAGGAGAATGTGTGGTTTCTATTCCTCTGCCAGTAAGCTGGATGGTGTAGTTTTGAAACCTGAACCTGATGACCTTTGCTGTGTCAAGTGGAAAGAAAATGGTTATTATAGGGCCATAGTCACCAAATTGGATGACAAGAGTGTGGATGTATTCTTAGTTGACCGAGGCAATTCGGAAAATGTGGACTGGTATGACGTAAGGATGCTGCTTCCTCAGTTTAGGCAGCTACCAATATTGGCTGTGAAGTGCACCCTGGCTGATATTTGGCCTTTGGGAAAAACTTGGAGCCAGGAGGCAGTTTCCTTTTTTAAAAAGACTGTGCTCCACAAAGAATTAGTCATCCATATTCTTGATAAACAGGATCATCAATATGTTATTGAGATTCTTGACGAATCAAGAACAGGGGAAGAAAACATTAGTAAGGTAATTGCCCAAGCTGGATATGCCAAGTATCAGGAATTTGAAACAAAGGAAAATATCCTGGTAAATGCCCACTCCCCAGGGCATGTTTCAAACCACTTTACTACGGAGAGTAACAAAATACCTTTTGCCAAGACTGGAGAAGGAGAGCAGAAAGCCAAGAGAGAGAATAAAACCACATCTGTTTCAAAAGCTTTGAGTGACACAACAGTTGTAACAAATGGTTCAACTGAACTAGTTGTGCAGGAAAAAGTGAAAAGAGCATCTGTTTATTTTCCTCTTATGCAGAATTGCTTGGAAATTAAGCCAGGCTCCTCTAGTAAAGGAGAGCTGGAAGTTGGAAGTACAGTAGAAGTCAGAGTGTCTTATGTTGAAAACCCTGGCTATTTCTGGTGTCAGCTGACCAGGAACATACAAGGACTTAAAACTCTAATGTCTGATATTCAGTACTATTGCAAAAATACAGCTGCTCCTCACCAGAGAAACACCCTTGCTTGTTTGGCTAAGCGAACAGTAAACAGACAGTGGTCCAGAGCACTTATTAGTGGGATACAGTCTGTGGAGCATGTCAATGTAACATTTGTAGATTATGGAGACAGAGAAATGGTATCTGTGAAGAATATTTATTCAATTAGTGAAGAATTTCTGAAGGTTAAGGCACAGGCTTTTAGGTGCAGTCTTTATAATTTAATTCAACCAGTTGGCCAGAATCCCTTTGTTTGGGATGTAAAGGCAATACAAGCTTTCAATGAATTTATAGATAATGCATGGCAAAAAAATCTAGAATTAAAATGTACAATATTTGCTCTGGCTTCAATTAATGAAGAACTGTTTAACATTGTGGATTTGCTAACCCCCTTTCAGAGTGCATGCCATTTCTTGGTAGAAAAGAGACTTGCAAGACCAGTAAAACTTCAGAAGCCTTTGGAGTCCTCTGTTCAGCTACATTCCTACTTCTATTCTACACATGATATGAAAATTGGAAGTGAAGAATTAGTTTATATAACGCATATTGATGACCCTTGGACATTTTATTGCCAGCTGGCAAGAAATGCAAATATTTTAGAACAGTTGTCATGTAGTATTACACAATTAAGTAAAGTTTTGCTGAATTTAAAAACATCTCCCTTGAACCCTGGAACCTTGTGCCTTGCCAAGTATACTGATGGAAACTGGTATAGGGGCATAGTAATAGAGAAAGAGCCAAAGAAAGTCTTCTTTGTTGATTTTGGGAATATTTATGTAGTAACAAGTGATGATCTGCTTCCAATACCTAGTGATGCATATGATGTCTTACTTTTGCCCATGCAAGCTGTCAGATGTTCATTATCTGATATTCCTGATCATATACCAGAAGAAGTGGTGGTGTGGTTTCAGGAGACTATTTTAGATAAGTCATTGAAGGCTTTAGTTGTAGCAAAAGATCCAGATGGAACACTGATTATAGAACTATATGGTGACAATATTCAAATTAGTGCTAGTATTAATAAGAAGTTGGGGCTACTTAGTTACAAAGATAGAATAAGAAAAAAAGAAAGTGAAGTCCTCTGTTCTACAACTGAAACTCTTGAAGAAAAAAATGAGAATATGAAGTTGCCATGTACAGAGTATTTAAGTAAATCAGTAGGGTACAAGTTACCTAATAAAGAAATTTTGGAAGAGTCATATAAACCTCAGATCAACTCATCATACAAGGAACTCAAACTTTTACAAAGTTTAACAAAAACAAACTTAGTCACTCAATATCAAGACTCTGTGGGAAATAAAAATAGTCAAGTGTTTCCATTAACAACAGAAAAGAAAGAAGAAATTTCTGCTGAGACACCCTTGAAAACAGCAAGAGTAGAAGCTACTCTTTCAGAGAGAAAAATAGGAGATTCATGTGACAAAGATTTGCCTCTGAAATTTTGTGAGTTCCCACAGAAGACTATAATGCCTGGATTTAAAACAACTGTATATGTTTCTCATATAAATGACCTTTCAGACTTTTATGTTCAACTAATAGAAGATGAAGCTGAAATTAGTCATCTTTCAGAGAGATTAAACAGTGTTAAAACAAGGCCCGAATATTATGTAGGTCCACCTTTGCAAAGAGGAGATATGATATGTGCTGTTTTCCCAGAAGATAATTTATGGTATCGTGCTGTGATCAAGGAGCAACAACCCAATGACCTTCTCTCTGTGCAGTTTATAGATTATGGCAATGTTTCTGTGGTTCATACTAACAAAATAGGTAGGCTTGACCTTGTTAATGCAATATTGCCGGGGTTGTGCATTCATTGCTCCTTGCAGGGATTTGAGGTTCCTGACAATAAAAATTCTAAGAAAATGATGCATTACTTTTCCCAACGGACCAGCGAGGCTGCAATAAGATGTGAATTTGTTAAATTTCAAGACAGATGGGAAGTTATTCTTGCTGATGAACATGGGATCATAGCAGATGATATGATTAGCAGGTATGCTCTCAGTGAAAAATCTCAAGTAGAACTTTCTACCCAAGTAATTAAAAGTGCCAGTTCAAAGTCTGTTAACAAATCAGACATTGACACTTCAGTATTTCTTAACTGGTATAATCCAGAAAAAAAAATGATAAGAGCTTATGCCACTGTGATAGATGGACCTGAGTACTTTTGGTGTCAGTTTGCTGATACGGAGAAACTTCAGTGTTTAGAAGTAGAAGTACAGACTGCTGGAGAACAGGTAGCAGACAGGAGAAATTGTATCCCATGTCCTTATATTGGAGATCCTTGTATAGTAAGATACAGAGAAGATGGACATTATTATAGGGCACTTATCACTAATATTTGTGAAGATTATCTTGTATCTGTCAGGCTTGTGGACTTTGGAAACATTGAAGACTGTGTGGACCCAAAAGCACTCTGGGCCATTCCTTCTGAACTTCTGTCGGTTCCCATGCAAGCCTTTCCATGTTGCCTCTCAGGGTTTAACATTTCAGAAGGATTATGTTCTCAAGAGGGAAATGACTATTTCTATGAAATAATAACAGAAGATGTGTTGGAAATAACAATACTAGAAATCAGAAGGGATGTTTGTGATATCCCTTTAGCAATTGTTGACTTGAAAAGCAAAGGTAAAAGTATTAATGAGAAAATGGAGAAATATTCTAAGACTGGTATTAAAAGTGCTCTTCCCTATGAAAATATTGACTCAGAGATAAAGCAGACTCTTGGGTCCTACAATCTTGATGTAGGACTTAAGAAATTAAGTAATAAAGCTGTACAAAATAAAATATATATGGAACAACAGACAGATGAGCTTGCTGAAATAACTGAAAAAGATGTAAACATTATTGGAACCAAACCAAGTAACTTCCGTGACCCTAAAACTGATAACATTTGTGAAGGGTTTGAAAACCCCTGCAAAGATAAAATTGATACTGAGGAACTGGAAGGTGAATTAGAGTGCCATCTGGTTGACAAAGCAGAGTTTGATGATAAATACCTGATTACAGGATTTAACACATTACTACCACATGCTAATGAAACAAAGGAGATACTAGAACTGAATTCACTTGAGGTGCCGCTTTCTCCTGATGATGAATCAAAAGAATTCTTAGAACTGGAATCTATTGAGTTACAGAATTCTCTGGTGGTGGATGAAGAAAAAGGGGAGCTAAGCCCGGTGCCACCGAATGTGCCACTCTCCCAAGAGTGTGTCACAAAAGGCGCCATGGAGCTATTTACACTGCAGCTTCCTCTCAGCTGTGAAGCTGAGAAACAGCCAGAACTAGAACTACCTACAGCCCAGCTGCCTTTAGATGACAAGATGGATCCTTTGTCTTTAGGAGTTAGTCAGAAAGCACAGGAATCCATGTGTACTGAGGACATGAGAAAGTCAAGTTGTGTAGAATCTTTTGATGACCAGCGCAGGATGTCATTGCATCTACATGGAGCAGATTGTGATCCTAAAACACAGAATGAAATGAATATATGTGAAGAAGAATTTGTAGAGTATAAAAACAGGGATGCCATTTCGGCATTGATGCCTTTGTTCTCTGAGGAAGAAAGCAGTGATGGAAGCAAGCACAATAATGGTTTACCAGATCATATCTCAGGTATGTGAATTTTTTTTCCTTTTTACTTTTTTTTTTTTTTTTTTTTGAGACAGGGTCTTGCTCTGTCACCTAGGCTGGAGTGCAGTGGTGTGATCTTGGCTCACTGCAGCCTCTGCCTCCCAGGCTCTAGTGATTTTCCCACCTCAGCCTCCCAAGTAGCTGGGACTACAGGTGTGTGCCACCACACCCAGCTTATTTTTCTGTTTTTTGTAGAGACAGGGTTTGTCATGTTATCCAGGTTGGTCTCAAACTCCTGGGCTCAAGCAGTCCTTCTGCCTCAGCCTCCCAAAGTGTGCTTTTACTTTTAAGTTTAACATAGTGACTTTCCAGAGTTGTTATTTGTTTTAAAGAAAAGAGAATAATTCTTATATGGATTTCTAAAAAATAATTTTTTGTAAGAGATTAAAAACCTGGAAAGTGAATCAGATTGGATTTTATGAAGGGCATTTTAAACTTGGGGAAAATATATTGTGAAATCAGTGCAAAATATGTGCTGGAAGAAACACTGAAATATTAGTTTTGTGTTTAAAAGTTGAATGCTTGAAATCTATTAGTCTCCAAAAGGTAATCACATTTAAAATGTAATCACATTTATAATCAAGAGGGCATGTGTTGGTAAGTTTTATAAAACATGGTATTCCCTTGCCAAATTTATGGCACTACTACAGGCATTAATTTACACTAAGGATTATTTCAACAGGGTCTTTTAGACTTAACTGTATCATGCATTGATCTTGCAATTCATTAGAAACCCTTAAAGAAAAAAAATAGATTTAGGTAGCCTATATTAATCAAAAACTGTTTCATGTGTAAATCTTGGAGAACATTTATTAACTTTTTTATAAATTATTTTTACTACTGTTTGCTACTTAAAAAGAATTGTTAAATGGGTAACTTTTAGCTTTTTATAATCAATGCTATACTTTTTAAATGTCAATTTTTATATTATTAAATTTGAACCATTGTAAAAATAAGGAAAATAATGGAATAGTGAGAATGAAAATCAACAAGAAGTGATCAATGTTAACACCATGATGTATTTTCTTTTTGTTGTCTTTTACTGTCTTTGTGTATGTCTACTATATAGTTTTAAAAACAATTTAGATCATACTATCATACAGTATTGAATCCTGCATTTTAGTCCCTTAAAAATGCTTTCAAAATATTTTAATTGCATGGTATGCCATCCTATGGGTAACACATAAGTTATTTAAGTATTACCCTTGCATTAGATATTTATTCCTCATTGTCATATTTAATAATAGTATTAACTCTGTGATAAGAATGTCTGCTCATTTGTAACATGCTGCTTTCTTATAGAAATGGCTGTTGTAAGTATAAAAAACACCACTTGTCTTAATAGTACCATATTTTATTAGCGATTTTCACTGTTAGAAATCAAATTCACATCCTTGTGGTGATTTTTTGTTTGGTTTGTTGGTTTAGAAAAGCAATAAGAGATTATATGGGGGGGCGGGCACTGTAAGAATTTTAAACAAAATTGAGGGAGACAGTCATACCAATGTACTAATTACATGATATTGATGATATAGAAATAATGCAGATTAGGAAAATGCTTTGCTTGTGTATGTTACATTAAGGAATTAAGAGATATGCATTGAGTCTTACTCAATTCAATTTGGCAGCTCAACTACAGAACACCTACACTCTGAAAGCCTTTACTGTTGGATCTAAATGTGTTGTGTGGTCAAGTCTAAGAAACACATGGTCTAAATGTGAGATTTTAGAAACAGCTGAAGAAGGAACAAGGGTAAGTGATGTTTAAGTACTTTATCTCCAAATGTATTTGCAGACTATTAAGGAAAGTTTACCAGACTCTGTCAGACTAGAGAACGCGATTGAACAAATGTTTACTTGCTTGTTCCCCCTGATAACTTGATGTAATGCACATATATTTTAAATCTCCATATATAAGAATCGTAGCAAGAAATCATCCTAGGCTGTATCATCTATCTCCCTTACTCTTTCTAAATGCTATTAGTCACCTAGTTCCACACTTTACACATCTTATCTCTTAGTTGGAATTTTTTATATCTAATGCCACTACCTTAGTTGAGTCATTTCACAACTACATTAATAACCTTCTATTTTGTTTGCTTCTTCTAGTCTTCCTTAAATTGATTGTCCATGGTGTCAGGGTGAAGTTTGTAAAATGTAAATTTGATTACTTCATTATTGTGTAAAACTTATTAGGGAGCCTGTTGATCGTGTTTCTCCCGTGATTTGAAAACCACCTGTTCGAGAGTTACTTGGTATATATATATATATGTATATGTGTGTATATATATATATATATATGTATATGTAATATATATGTATATATATGTGTGTATATATGTGTATATATATGTATATATGTGTGTGTGTGTGTGTGTGTGTGTGTGTGTATATATATATATATATATATTTTTTTTTTTTTTTTTTTTTTTTTTTTGAGACAGGGTCTCACTCTGTCACCCAGGCTGGAGTGCAGTGGCGCCATCTTGGCTCACTGCAAGCTCTGCCTCCCAGGTTCACACCATTCTCCTGCCTCAGCCTCCCAAGTAGCTGGGACTACAGGCGCCCACCACGACGCCCAGCTAATTTTTTGTATTTTTAGTAGAGACGGGGTTTCACCTTGTTAGCGAGGATGGTCTCGATCTCCTGACCTTGTGATCCGCCCACCTCAGCCTCCCAAAGTGCTGGGATTACAGGCATGAGCCACTGCGCCCGGCTGTTTTTTAAATTGTATTATAGATTCCTACGCCTTGGCCTGGACTGCTAATTCAGAATTTCTGGGGTTAGGATTCCAGAATATGCATTCATATTCCATTAAAATTGGAGAGCCCCTGGCCTGGAACATAAAAGTCAAGCTCATTAACATGGCATAGGAAATCCTCTAGGGTTAAGTGTTTATGTACTCTCTTTGGCCCTAATTCTTTATATTTTGTACTTTATATTAAATGGACATCAAAATTCTTGACTTCTCTTACATATACCATCTGCTTGCTCTTTCGATATATTTAATATTGCAGTTCTATTTTACCTATATTCCATCCTGTTACCAAACTGGTTAATTCCAATTTACTTACCCATTGCCTCTACCAGGGAGCATTCACTGATGTTATTTTCTAAATTTATTCTTGTCCTCAACCTTCCCCCATCCCAAAAAAAGCCTTATTTCTGTATTACAATCCTATACCTCCTACTACAGAAGTCTGAACTTCCTATGGTGTATTGTAATTATCTGCTTAGAGGTCTTTTCTCCACTAGATTTTGAACTATTTGATGTTGAAATTTTATCCATCTTTGATCACCAGTCATAGATACTCTACATATGTTTGGGAAACTGAAGTAGCATGGAGTTTGAAACATAAGGTTGAAGCTCAATAAATTCATTTTCATTGTCTTTTAAAGTGTTTCATTTTAGGGCCAGGTGCAGTGGCTTATGCCTGTAATCCCAGCACTTTGGGAGGCCAAGGCAGGTGGATCGCTTGAGCCAAGGAGTTTGAGACCAGACTGGGCAGCATAGTGAAACCCTGTCTTTATCCAAAATACAAAAAATTAGCTGGGCATGGTGGTGTGCGCCTGTAGTCCCAGTTATTCAGGAGGCTGAGATGGGCAGATTGCCTGAGCCCAGGAGGTCAAGGTCACAGTGAGCTCTGATCCTGCCACTGCCCTCCATCCTGGGCAATAGAGCAAGACCCTATCTCAAAATAATAATAATAATAATAGTATTTCATTTTTAAAATAATTGCTCTGGTACATAAATCAGTTATTTTTTTGAATTGGACACTTTAAAAAAATTTGTTTTCTCCTGTAGGTTTTGAACCTTTCAAATGGTATGGAGGAGATAGTGAACCCTGAGAATGTCTGGAATGGCATACCCAAATTGGATAAGAGTCCACCTGAGGTATGGAATTCTATAAATAGTAATTAGTGAGAGCATTGTTCTTCATTTTGAAAGGTGATTTAACAAACTATTTCCAAAGTCCTTGTGTTTGGAAAAATGGGAGAAAAATCCTGTGACAATAGTTAAAAACAGCAATAACAAAATCAGTGATTTTAGTCCTTATGCCAAGTATTCTTCTGAGAAAACTAGTTATTAATGTTTTACTCCTTGATTAGAAAATGTTTTGGTCTTCATGACTCTAATAAAATACATATTAGATGCAGAAAACCTGAGAAATATAACAATATTAAAAATGAGAAAGTAACAATCACCGATAATATACCCATCCAGAGACAAATAGGTTGACCAGTTTGGTTTTCTTTTATAATTTTTCTGTTTATATGTAATATAAGTATTTCATCTACATATTTTAGACACAATTGATTTCATCCTATGTATAGTTTTATATTCTGTTTTTCTTCATTTAAGACTATATGGTGGGCAATTTGCCATGACATTATGATGTGTCTGGGCATTTGAGTTTATCCTGTTTGGGGTTGGTTGGACTTCTTGAACTTCTCACTTCACAATCTTTGTCTGATAGTTTTAATATCTGGTCATCTTGGGGTTTGTAGCTGTTGATTTTCTTTTCCCTAGAGAAATGGTCAGCTTTTCTTGGTTCTTTGTATGTTGAGTAATTTTGGATTATATCCTGAACATTTTGCATATTATGTTTTAAGACATTGGGTCCTGTTAAAATCTGGAGAATGTTGAAGTTTTTGTTACAGCAGATGATCAGCTGGTTTCAATTCATCCTACATGTTCTCTTTCTCCTTCTGTGGTTGGTGATTGTCCTGTCAGTTTAGTTTTCAAAGCCTTTGTTGTTCAGGTCTTCCAGGTACATAAGCCACCCAGGGTAGTCAGGGACTTTGGTCAGTGGTTTATATAGTAGTTAAGTGTCAAAGACTTTGCTGTGCTTATTTGGCTCTGTTCTGCATGTGCATAGCTCAGGGGCAATCCTGAGACTTAGAGTTCACATGTAGCATTAGGAGTTAAACATTTTCAACTCCTTTCCTCTCTGAGATGTCCTCCACATTTTCTGGCTCCCAGGATCCTCTCTTATCCAGCCTCCAATGGCCCCTTTTTCTGGTCACCTAGCCAGACAGTATTTTTCTCTCAGCCTCTGCTCCACCACACAGTTCTGTTTGCCCGTAAGAGCGAAGCAGATAAAGAGATAACAAAAACAATCTCCTATTACTATTCTTCAGATGACAGAAAGCTCTTTTCCTGGTTCCACTGGCTAGAGAGACGGGTCATCTCTCACATTTGTAGGTGCCTATGTTGCCATAGCTGTCACCAGGCAGTAACTGGGGTTAGCCACCCTCAGGGCAGGGCCAGAAAAAAAAATAGAAATAAACATAACACCACAATACAGCAAAGAGATTTCCTACCTATTTCTTACTCTCTAGCATTCAGGGTTCCTTTATCCCTAGTCCACTGGCTATAAATAAGAAATTTCTCTCAGAGTTTTGCTGTCTACGCTAGCTAGGCAGTTTTGATTTGGCCCACCCTCAGATCAAAATCAGGAGACAAAGAAGTAAAAAAAAAGAAAAGAAAAGGCCTATGAAACTCACTCCTGTTGTGAGTCATTATTCACGTTTTTACTTTAATTCTTAATCTACCTATTTCTGTTCACTTTTGAGTCTTTGAGTAGTTGCTTTTTATATTCTGTCTAGAATTTTTCATTGTAATCAGCGAAAGAGGTTATAGTCAGCTTATTCCATCTTGGCTGCACCCAGAAGGCCATAAACAATATTTAATAGCTAAATAATGCTGCATGACACTAGTGAGCCATAATGTATTAAACCATTTCCCATAGTGTTGGATATTTAGGTCATTTGAAATTTTTACTATAAAAAATCAATGAATATCTCTCTTTATGTTAATTACTTTTTTGCTTAGGTCAAAAATACCAGCCTACTACACTTTTTGCATCAGTATTTACTAAAACTTTTTACATTTGGGTTGTCTCCATCCATTAATTATGAAGAATCCACAGCCAAATGCATACATATGTACATACAAGATTCAGTTTGGATAAAGTTCTCTATGCCTGCTACATAGAAAAGAACTATTTAAAGTAGACATAAAATTATATATCTAGATAAGTAAATAGATAACTACCTCTGGCTTTGACTAGGCCAGTTAGCAGACATATAGAAACTACTTATGAGTAAGACTCTAAAAATTTTGATTTGGTTACTAATGAGATTTAAATATCCTTCCCTCAAATTCGAGGAAGCTCTTAACTCTGGATACCTGTCTACAAATGAGCTAGCTTTCCTTACAAAGTGAGTGTTGTATTATGCATGACTTTTTTTTAATGATACATCAAGTCACTATGATCTAGGAATCTAATTACTTTTTTTAAAAAAATGGTTTCTTATCTGAGTTATTTTATTTTACCATAAGAGTATTTTGTTAGTTACTGTATCACATAATGCATGCACATGATGCTATTGGTTGTTAAAAGGAATATAGGAGAAATATTTCCCTTTTCATTGTCCTTAATAAAGCATCTGTGGCTCTACATGGATACTGTGTTTGAATAACAGCCCCTTGAACAATGATGTCCCTCCCTCCTTCACCAATTACCAGAGTTGTTGGGGATTTGAGAGCTAAACATTGGAAAAGGGTACTTTACTCCCTGTGTAGAGTGCTCCAGGGATATGTTCTAGAGAAATGAGTATTTGAAGAATAGAAAAAGTACTTGACATGATTCCTCATTATAAAATCAGATTGTCATAATTTTGATAGAAATACATTTTGTTGTTTACATCTTTTCTGGCTTATCTGTGGTTCCATTTCTGATTTGAATTATTTTGTACTCGTGATAAAGAATCAATAGCAATTCAAAGGTTCCTTTTGTTAGGCTGTATCCCAAAGAGTAGGGAAAGATCTTTACTTCATGTCAGTGGGTGATACCACTATTAAAGGTAACTTGTGTTTTTAAAACAAAATACTTTTATCACCCAGAATTACAATTTCTTAAAAATATTGTTATGCTGAATCCCTCAAACAAAAATGGTTTATCAATTTCTTTGGACATAGGTAGCAGGGAAGAAAAACCACTTTAGGTAAAAAAATTTAAATATACTTATGGAGATAAATAACCCAAGATGAGGATTTCTTGAAATATAGGAAATTTATTAATTGAATTAATCTTGAAAGTTAAATTATGAATGTGATAAATTCACATTTTAAAGAATTTTCTCTGTTAATTAGCTCATATGTTCAAATGATATTTGTTAAATAATCTCTTGGAATTTCTGAATCTTTAGTTTATATAAGATTCAAATTATTGGCTGGTTCTTGGTATTGCACATTCTTGTTCATAAATAATGCAGTGGTTCTTAGAATTGAGGCACATTGAGAATAAAATCAGCTAATGGTAGCTTTAATATCATGTGAAAAATATATACTAATCAAAAAGGAAAAAGAACTAATTGATTATCAGCCTTGTTCACACCATTCTCTAGCAAAATATAAAATATGCCAATTTCATAATTTTTAGAGAAACTTGATTTGATGGTACAGTGTGAGAACCAAAATATTAATAAGAAAATAAAACATTGTTTCTATAGAAATAATGCCCTATAGTAATTAGAATACTCATCTGTCCCCTCTCCCTTTTAGAGAACATTACATTTGTCATGGTAACACCCATGGAAATAAATTTTTTTGTTTGTATGTTTCTTTCTCAGTTTGAAGTTTTTCTCTTTTTGTTTCAGAAAAGGGGTTTGGAGGTGATGGAGATTTAACCGTGGATCTATAGCTGTGGCCAATCAGTCAGAAGCTGCCCTTGAACAAGTGGCATCTTACGCAGACCAACAGAGTATTTGAGAAAATTGAAAACATGTAACCACAAGAAGTTGTCATTTTCAAAAACTTCTATATAGGTGGAAAACAAATTAGGTCTCAGGTTGATGGTGGGGTGTGTTTATAGTGATCCTGTTATATATACAGATCTGGGATCTTTCGTCTTTATTGTCTTACGTTTCTAATTAGTTGGGAGGATTTATTTTGCTAAACAGTTTACTAACACATTACATTTCAAAAACTATTTTGGTACCTTTCAAATACAGTGTTTAAATTAAAATAGAAAAATAAGGGCTCATGACAAGTACATTATTTGATTCTACTTAGGATAGCTTTTTAGCAGGATCTCCTTCAGAATTTTTGTCTTGACTTTGAATCTTTGCCTGTTTGTCTAAACATTTGACTAACATTCTGTTTGAATTTGGAAGTATTCTAATACAAGATTTGAATAAAGTTTATCCTTAAATAAAGTTTATCCTTAATATGATGGTCTCATTTTATTAAAAAGGAAATAGAACTCTTAAATATACTTGGTTCCATCTCTCCTCTGTAATGGAGGATTGGGGAAAGCATAGTAATATTAAATGTTAGCTCTTATGTATTAGTCACTTAGCTTATACTTTAAATGCATTTTTTCACTTTATTCATCAACTTTGAAGTGCATATCAATATTATCCATATTTTATAGGTGAGAAAATTGAAGCTTCATAAAGAGGTTAAATAACTTGCCTAAGGTCAGATAGCTGATGAGTCTCAGAGGCTTGATCAAACCCAGACCTACCTAACTTTGAAGCCCATGACTTTTTAAACATGATTTTGCAAAGCATAGATCTTAGCTTTTAGAAACAGATCTGAGCTATATGCTGCTTAACAGATATGTGACATGGGCAAATTATGTAATATTTTGAACTTTGATCTTCATCTGTAAAGTGGTGATAATAAAACCTTTCTTGCAGTGTTTTTTTAAGATGAGAAATAATTGATATAAAGTCCCTGAAAAGGAGTAGGCATTTGATAAATGTGTCTTTCTTTACCCTGAAAAATACTCAGTGTGCACTATGTTAGGTTATTTCTTTTTAACCTTAACTTATTAGATATTTTCAATAGTTATTTTCTCCTTTCAGCATCAGCATGCGCCACCAACAAAAGACTGTAAAAAACAAACAAACAAAAAAGTGTTGAATGGGACATCCATACAGTTGGAATGCTTATTTCTAAAATGAATAGGGAAAAGGTTTGCTAAATGAGACTGGGGTAAAGGTGTATCTCTGTGAAGCATTATCAGACTCTGAAGCCTAATGGAAATAGAATTATGAACCTTAAAAACCCATTATAATTTCCGTAAGTAGAAGGGAGAGAGGTTTGCATTAAAAGTAATTGAGGTAGATGAGTATATTACTTATTCCTGGAATAATGAATAGACAAGTTTGGCTTACTCATATAGATAATATAATGTGAATTGCCAGAAGCAAAGCTCAGAGAAGATGCATTAGGATCAGATTATAGGAAGCCTTCAATTTCAAGCTGAGTTTAACTCCCTATTTTAAAAAATTTAATCTGAATGGCTACAGAAGTAAAATTTCTCAGAATGAGTGACTTTGCACCTGACACCACTAAGATAGGACTAGGGTACCAAATGAGTGGTATAAATTTTTATGTCCCCTGGGAAATAAAATCATTTTCCATGATTCCCATATTTATAAGTATAAATTCTTAAGCTATATTTTTACCTCCATTTAATCGTGTTATTCTGTTTTACTACTACATATAGAATTGAAAACATTAAATAAAATTAACTGGAATATGAAGAAGCTAAATGTAATTCTGAATGTTTTATTATCCTTCACAGCCTTTGTGTGAGTAACTAATGTATTCTAACTGGAATCCCTGCTATATGCTGTAATACCTGTGGAACCTTTCTTTAGCAAGTAGAATGCCTTAAAGAATTAAAGAAAGTGTCAAAAAATTACCAATTTAATCCACTGCCTTTGCCTCATCTCTAATATTCTTAACCCTTCTCTACTCCTTTTAGTCATCATTTGAAATTGTGTAGTACCACCAATCCTGTGCTGAAACAATGGCTTTTGCTTGTTCTAATTTTTCTTACCGTGACCAAAAGTCAAAGAGAAGAGCTGCCAAATTCTACCTAGAATATCATGTTGCTATAATTAAACTCCACTGCCCATAGTAGATAATAAAAGGCAAGAAATTGTTTTTTACTCTATGTTTAGGGAGTCTTGTATCATTGCAACAGGTTTTCACTGGGATTTTGCCTGTTTTAATCTACTTGTCTGTCAAAGTAATGTAAAAACAGTTTTTAACTTCGACACTGAAAAGGAATCATCTTTAAAATTAAAATTTAGGCTGATATGAATATTGTATACTGTATTCTTTCTTTACATCTAAAGGGAAAAAATTCTTAGTCCAAGCTTCAATCACGATTACAGTATAGCCTACATTTTAAAATATGAGTCCTTTGGGAAAATACATTAAAATTCTCTCTCTCTCTCTCTCTCTCTCTCTCTCTCTCTCTCACACACACACACACACACACACACACACACATAATTTTAGACAGTTTTGAAACAAGACTTTTAAAAAACCTATTTTAATCCTAATTGTATTTCTCTATTCCTGAAGAGTTCTGTAACATGATGTGTTGATTGGTTGTGTTAATGTTGGTCCCTGGAATAAGATTCTCATCATCTCCTTCAATCAAGCAGTCCCACTGATCAAAATCTTTATGAAGTCCTATAAAATATAAAGTGTTAATCAACATATTAAACTTTTGAGAGCATTAAACAGTTTGGTGCCCCTAGGTGGCAATAAAGATTTACAAATTACACAAGTTCCGTTAGGATGGTAGAGACGATGTGCTCTGTATCAGCTGCCTCATGGCTGCTTTAGCAGCTGAATGCAAACGGGATAGGAGTGAGGCAACCTGCTGTCAGTATCCTCAACATGGAAGTCCACTCTAGGCTTCATACAAAGAATATTACCTTTAACAGTTGGATTTGCTTTCTATGATATAGAGGATGTAAAGCAGCAAAATTGACTTTCTCAAATTTCTGTTTTCAAATTGATATACTGCTTTGTTCCATTGTAAACCAACTGGAAATAGTTTAAATAGTACTAAAGCTGTATTAAGATAGACAGCTTTGTCCTGAGATTCATCTGGTTTAGGTCATGAAAAAAATAGTTTCTTACCTAAATGCTTTTGTAAGAATGCTAATGAAGCTTTGTTGCTAAGATCAATAGCTACATTTGAATCTATGTCTCCCTTTAATTTGAGCATGTGTCCAATTATTTTGCCAGTTGCAAAAGTGAAGTCAGCAAAATTCTGGTGGACTGAACCCCTAAAAGAGAACAAGACATTTAAAAGTCACATTGTTTGATAAAATTATTATTTTTTTAGTTAGAGTGTAAGAAAGGTACTGGTCTTGTTGGTCTGTTTACTGAAAACCAAAGAAGAAATAAAACTTGTAATTTGATCTACTTAGATGTGTTTCAAGGGTCACAGGCTGTTTGTTTAGGGATCCCAGAGTATATTCTTCTTCCCTCTAGAAATACAACTCAAAGAATCTTGTTCTTGCTTGGTATCTTGATTTTAGAAGAAATGATTCTTGCTTTTTAGTGAATTGGAATACTTCCAGTTTGAATACTGGAATGTGTTCTGTATTGAAGGGTCCCTGAACTCAGAGCCAGAGCCTGCTACCTGCCCTCACCACTGAACGTGGTATGTATTTGATGCTAGTCACTTTAAATTTAAATCACTTTAGATTTAAGCCTTAGAGGAAACAGATTTCAAACACCACTTTTCCCAGTATTAAACTGTAAGCACTTTATAAATATCATTTGCACTGCTCTGTAAATTCATCAATAGCCTAACGTCAAATAGAATGGCCTTTTTTAAGTCCTCGTTTTCTACCACCACTGGGACATTTGACACTTGATGGCCTTCTTGCACTTTTTTTCTTTACGTTTCCTTAACATTGCACCTTCCCTTCTGACGCTAACCACTCTATGTTCTTCACTGGCTCTTCACCCATTTCCCATTGGCTGAATGTAGGCATTCCTTAGGATTCTACTGGCAGACCAACTCTTTTCTCACTTTGCAATCTCTTCTACTTCAAATGTTTCATCTGTGTTATCATGTAAATTATGTAATCATCCAATGTGTGGCCAGACATCTGTGTACAGATTCCTCAGTTCTCAAGCTAAGAAATTGTGAAGTTAAAAGACATCTTCCCAGTCCTGCCCAAAGCTGCTCTGCCTCTTGACTCTGCTGGTTCTTATAAGCAACCCATCATTCTTTTAGTCATCTAAGCTCAAAACAGGGCCACTTAACTCCCTCTCACTCTTCCCCACATTGTAGTAGGAAACTTGAATGTCAGAAACATAAAGAAGATAAACAGCAGGAATACAAGAGAATTGCGAGCAGAAGCTTGGATGATCTGACTGTAGAGAACTGCCAGAGGAGAAGAAATGGAAGGAGTGGTATAAATGACAGGAGAAGCAGCAAAGAGGTGGGTCATAGTAGCCAAGGGAGCAGGAAGAGGGGTGGTCAGCAATGTTGAACAGATGCAGAGAGCAAGGTTGAGACTCTGAAGAGGCTGCTGGTGTGGCAGGCAGCAGGCCTTTAGTGTCTTTGTTTTGGCATGCCCGTGGGGGCCCAGGAAGCTAGACCACAAGAGTCAAAGAGTGAATAGAAGTAAGCACATGCAATGACTAATATTGGCTATTCTTTGAAGGTTTCTAGCAGAGAAGGGACAAAAGCAAAGGTGAGAGCTTAGTAAGGAAATAGGGTTGAGGGAAGGTTAGGTGTTCTGTATTATTTCCGTTTTAGAATTAGAAAGAGTTGCACATACACATAAGCTAAATGAAGTCCTTGCCTGAAATACCTAAACCCTTCCTTACTATCTAAACTCTCTTGATCTTACAAAATCCAATTTTAGTGTCATCTATGAATCCTTTTCTGTTGGAAGAGACCCCTCTATTCTCTGAGCCCATAGTGTTTATTGCCTATACTCCATATATTTCCTTCCTGCCTCTTCTCTTCTCCTAAATAAACCAGATTTCAGATAGGAAAGGGGTGAGTTCAGGTCCATCTTTGCTTTGTAATATCTCATCGAGAGTTCAAAACCTTATCAGGAGTTCTTTTTCACCTCCAGGATACAAGAATTGCCAACACGTCATGGTACCCCATTATAGCTTTGGGGAATTTATAAACTCATATTCTTTCTCAACAGGTTAGTATATTGCAGGTCTCAGTCGATAATCTGACTTTTTCTTTAAAGAGTTCCTACCCCAGCCTAATGATGGAATACTTCCCCCTAGCTCTACCCCCAAAAATCTGTAGGCATATTCTGGTGTTTAGATTGAAGTAGCATGTAGTATAATGCTAATTTTAATTACCAGTGATATAGTTTGGATCTGTGTCCCCACCAAATCACATGTCAAATTGGAATCCCCAGTGTCAGAGGCAGGGACTGGTGGGAGGTGATTGGATCATGGGAGCAGTTTCTCATGGTTTCACACCATCCCCCTTG
The DNA here is from genome assembly GCF_000001405.40 of Homo sapiens. Classification (NCBI taxonomy): domain Eukaryota; kingdom Metazoa; phylum Chordata; class Mammalia; order Primates; family Hominidae; genus Homo; species Homo sapiens. The sequence continues at coordinate 46,707,495 of NC_000006.12, forward strand.
GTGCTGTCATTGTGACAGTGAATTCTTGTGAGACCTGGTTATTTAAAAGTGTGTAGTACCTTCACCCATCCCTCTCTTCCTCCGGCTCTGGCCATGTGAAGTGCTCATGCCCCGGTTGCCTTCCACCATAATTGTAAGTTTCCTGAGGCCTCCCCAGAAGCCGAGCAGATGCCAGCATCATGCTTCCTGTACAGGCTGCAGAACTGTGAGCCAATGAAACCTCTTTTCTTTATAAATTACCCAGTCTCAGGTATTTCCATATAGCAATGCAAGAACAGACTAATATAACCAGTATATATACTATATACGTTAACATTCCCATTTTAAAAAGAGTAAGACTAAATGTACTTAGAAACTGAGATTATCTAATTCTCTCCTTATTGAAAGTCTAAACAACCAATTCAGCAATTCTTTAATAGTTACCAAATGATATCGATTGATATTTACCCAAGCTTCAAGTTTGTTTCACATAATGAAATAAGTCACTAATACTTACCTGATTGTAATCATCTTTCTTTCTTTATCAGGTGAGTAGCATTTTTTCATTTTTATGATATTAGCAGGATATTGGAAATATTCAGAGTTGATAAAAAAGAGGGGCTGAGGAATTCTGGAATATACTTCATCACCCAGTGGAAACATCCATGCATCCAGGGCAATACCACATCTGTAGATATTTGTTGACAATGATGAAATTAAACTGGTTACATACTAGCCAACATTGAGGACATCCTAATAATGCTAGGATTGGTGGACACGCACCATACCAGTTTATTATGGGTTATCTCATTGGAATAAAGAGGTATCATACTTCAATGTGGGAAAGGGATATGATTAACTTTGTAAAGTAGCAGACCTGGAATTTTATATAATCATTTTCTTTATATGCCTTTAGGAATTGCAACCATTTGAGTGATATATCCTTAAAACTTTTTATTCAAAATAAATTTTAGAATACATAATAATTTCTTCAACACTGTGGAGTATCTGAAAAAGTATAATAAATACACCTTTGTTTTCAGAGCTTTTATGCACCTTGTAGTGTATTTATTATAGCTTTATTAGAGTAACAATTGGGCCCATTACTTTATATTTAGAGGCACTTCAGCTGAAAAACTGTCTGAGGGTTGAAGAAAAACATATGGAGCATATCATTTGAAGATGAAACTAACTTCCTTTTTAAAAGTAAGTTTATCCTATGTTTCCTGATCTTTTGGTAAATGGATCAAAGAAGAGAATTCTTACACTGAAATGGACTTTTAAGAAATTTGAGGTGAAGTTTCAAAAATGATCCTGCCCACTCTCTGTACGGTTGGTTCTATGTGATCTCATCAGTCTGGAATGAAGGTTTAAGAAAGAAAATGTTCCTGCAAGCTAGAAAACTGGGGTCTTGTCCCAACTCTTACCCAAATAATTGTAATTTTAGATCCAGCTCCATCTTAAAGGTGGAAGGGGGAAAAACCTAATTAAAAAATGTCCTGCCCACTGGAGAAGTCTGGCAATACTGTTAAGATGACAATATTATTATCACAATCATTATGTCACAAAAAATTATATAAAGATAAATTTTTCAGTGAAAAGTGTTAACCCCTTGGGTAAACAAGAATAATGAGGGAAAACTTATGGGAGTAGGGGGAGATTTTAATAGCAGGAGAGGTAGATGTTTTAGCCTAGGAAAATGTATATAGAGTATTTTATGGGGGCAAAAGAATAGCCTTATAAACTCCAAGAGATCCCTTCTTCACTAAGAATTTGAATAAAAAATTATATCTCACAATATAATTTCTTCCAATAATTTACTATTCTCTTGCTTTACTATCTTATTTTCTTACCTGAATCTCTGATCTTCACTAAGAGTCTGAATAACCGTTGCTCCACCAAAAGAATGTCCAATTACTGCTATTTTTTCCCTATCAATAGAGTCCTATTTGAAAAAGCATGATATAAATTTATAGCTATTTCGTGGTGTTAGAAGAAATGATTTTGTCAATCATATAATTGTTCATTTCATGGGGATGGTTAAATACATTGATTTCTTATAAAATAGAATATACATATACACACATACATTTATACATACCATACACACATATACATCTATATACACATATAAAACACATTTACACATATATATAACATATGTAAAGGTTTGAAAGTAAACTTAATGTTCTTTGTAGTCACCCACACTGGAAACTTCAACATCAGTTCTGACTTCTGCCTCTCCTCACCCCATGTTTATTTGTTTGTTCATTCCATGAGTATTTATTGAGTACCTACTCTGTGCCAGGTACTGCAGTCTCATTTCAGTGAGTTTGCAGTCCATCAGGGAAGAAAGTTATACAGAGGCATGATGCAATACAGTACAGTGGTACAAAGGAGCACACATGACAGACAGCGAGCCCAGTCCAGAAGTGGGTATTGGGGTCCAAGAAAGCTTCTTAGAGGAGGTGATGCTCAACTGGAGTCTTGAAATTAGGTAGGAGTTAGGCAAGGGGAAGGGTGTGTCAGGCCAAGGGGACAACATGTACAAAGGCAAGGATACAGAAGAGAGTGGCTGCTTGAGGGATAACAAATTTCTTCATTGTATCTGGAGAACAGACCATCATCTTATTCTCTAGTTCCCCCTAATCCCTGCACTTCACATGCCACACACACTTTTGAGTCTTTGTTCATGCTGCCCACTCTGTCTGATATTTTTCCACCCGCTCCCAAACTTGTGTCAAGTTTTCAAGATCAAGCTTAAAAACATGCAGGAGCTGTCCATGAAATAATAATACTTCCACAGGAGTTGAGTTGAACCATATGACATTGCTGTTTTTGTAGATCAAAACTGACTAACTTTTGGCAATTTCATATCTAGTCCAAGATAATGCATTCTTCATTGCTGCAATACTTTACCTGTACTGCTTTGTGTGTCTGTGTGTGCGCATTGGGGAGGGGGCTGGTTGCAGCCCTTTATCATATTGTACCTTGCAATATAGCAGAAAATTAAATGACAAAAAACAATAAAGAACTGTAGGACAAGAGAAAAATTACTTTTTATAGCTTACCTTCAGTTGTTCCATATCAAACTTTAAATCTAATGCATTCTTCACTGGCTTTCCATGATCAATGTCAAGAATCAGACTGAGAGCTTGGGAACATTCTTTTGCTCTTTGCCGTACCTAATATAATTATTAGAAGAAGGAAATGACAAAGTAAAAAGTTATAACACTTATTTTAAAGTTTAGGTAGAAGCTGTATTTGGGAAAAATCGTTGGTCAGTTATAAACTGGAAATCTGATTAGTGACTATTACTTGCTACCATAATGACACAGGCCCCAGCTTTGCACATAGGTATAGCTTAGTCCAAATCCTGGCTCTGTTGCTTACCTACTATGTGACTTCAGACGATTTACTTAACCTCTCTGAGTTTCCATTGATTGTATAATAATTCCTACCTAAAGGAAATGTGGGTGGACTCAAACATAATAACACATGTAAAACACCCACTATAAAGAGGAAGCCAATATGCTTCACTTAACTTAACTGCCCTAATAGCTCTGTAAGACAAATAATGTTTCTATTCATTATTCTATAACAAAATTAAGTGGTGGAGCCAGGATTCAAACATAGAAAGTTGGGTTCTAAGGCCCATACTCTTAATTCTATTGTATACTGCCTCTCTGAAAAGTAGTCTTTTTATATTGTCTGTGAGGAAGAATCTATTAATTTATTTTCTAGCACTTTTTAGATTCTAAAATTAGAAGTTTTAATTCAAGGGAATTCTGAATATTCACTGTCATCTCCCAAATTTTTGTATTTGCCTTTGTTTTTACTATGAACTAGATATTCCATTAAGGGAATTTTACTGCTCCAGGAATCTATTGACAGATCTTTTGGGAATGGGAAATAGGAGAGCTAGGAGCATAACTTGCCAGGTGTAAAATTAAATTAACAAATGTCATCCTTTTGTACATGCTTTTAGGTCACCAACCACCTCTCCTTTCACTGCAATGTACCTGCTCATTTCGTATATGTGTCTCCTCCTCTTGTTTCAGGGTTCTAAGGTAGAGCCAAGACTTGTCCCCTATTTCTGCAGCAGATTGGTCCTTGAAATAGTAAGTTGCAGATGCAGATCTATCTCTATAATACAAGCAAAATTATTATTTATGCATGCTCCTTCCCTTCCTCATCTGACCCATGTTTCTCAGTTCCATCCTTGACTCAACTTCCTCTGATCTTTTGACTTCCCTTTCTTCTTCCACTCTATATTTTCTCTTAAATTAAAGAAGACTGTAAAAGAGTTCCAGGAAAAAAACCTTATTGTCTATCATCAAGTTGCAGGTAAACTCAATCCATTCTATCTTCCTAATTCTGGGAGGCAATGTTAGCCATGTTGAAACTCAGTCTCAGGAATCAAATCCCGGCACTGCCACTTACTAGTTGTGTGACTTTGGGCAAATTACCCTTTATCACCTCTATATTCCTCTTCCTTAAAACAACAACAATAATAATAATAACCATCTCATAGGATTGTTATGAAGACTGAATGAAATGGCGTATTAAAAACATTTCGCATAGGACATGGCAGGCAATAAACACTCTAGAAATGTTAGGTGCTTTTAAGTCTTTTAAGTCGATAAACTCAATCTCCTTTTTTGCTCATGATGTTACCATACTTGAAAGTTCCATCAACATTTTAAATAAACTTTTATGAAAATTAGAAACATAGTTATGAGCATTGACATTCCCTGTAGTTGGCCAAAGAGCCCAATTATATCAGGTAACATACCTGTGTTCTACAGCAGCAACTATAAACCCATGAGATGCCAGGTCAATGCCAATAGCAGAATAAAGTGTCCTTCAAAACAAAAAGAGGGAAGAATTACAACTACCAGTCATGATTACAAGGCTGAGTCCACTAATAAAACTGGGAACATGGAGGCCATTACACCCCTGTAGTAGTGCCCTGGGGTGGAGTGGAGAGCTACGGTTCTTAAAGGAGGGTGATTTTGTTCCTTAGGGGATATTTGACAATGTCTGGAGGTATTTTCATTATCATGAATGTGGGCGAGGGTATTTCTGGTGTCTAGTGGGTAAAGGGATGCTGTCAAGCATCCTACAATGCACAGGGCAACCCTTCACAACAAGAGATTATCTGGTCCAAAATGTCAAGACTACTAAAGTTGAGAAAACCCAGGGCAGTGATTATAAATATTGCCTTTGAGAGTTTTGGGTTTTTAATCTTGGCTCTGCCACTTCCCAGCTATATGATTTTAGGTAATTACTGCATTTTTGTCCTCACCTGTAAAATGGGCCTAAGAGTAAAGCATTTGTTTTAGGGTAGTTGTAAGGTTTTGCTAAGATAATGTATATAGGAAAGCAGTACAGTATTGTAGTTACAAGAATGAGACCTGCAGTCTGACCACTGAGTTTGAACCCTGGTTCTACCACTTGTTAGCTGTGTACCTTTAATAAGTCACAATATTTTTGCTGCCTTGGTTCCTTATCTATAAAATGGTGACACTATAATAGTATGCTACCTCATCAGTGAGGATCAATTGAATTAATACATTTTCAGTACTTATATTAGAAACAGGTAAATACTTAACACATGTTAGCTATTATTTAAATGATTGGACTGGGTGAAATAGTTGAAAAATCATGTGCTAAGCACTGCATTTATGCCCTCTTCCACAGCTTCATTTGCACAACCTTTTCCTCATACCATGCATTCAATAGGAAATGTCCACAGAGAATAAAAAGGAGGTAGCTAGAAACTATTTATTTATTGCTGAAGATACAGGACCTTTTCAAGAGGGGGGAATGATATAGCACAGGGATTAGCAAACTTTTTCTGTTGAAGGCCAGAGAGTAAATATTTCCAGGTTTGTGGGCCATAGTCTTTGTCACCACTACTGAACTCTGCTGTTGTAGGACAAAAGTAGCCATAGACAGTGTACAAAAATGAATGGGTGTGGCTGTGTTCTAATAAAACTTTATAGAAATAGGCAGTGGGCTGGATTTGGCCCTTGGGTTCTAATTTGCCAGTCACTAATGTAGGAGAAATCAAATAGCTAGCTGAACTACATTTACAGTGCTGAAGAGAATTCTTTATTGCAAGTGCTACCCAACTTCTTCCCAGCTAAAAGCCATCTCTCTTATTTTCTGAGTTTTACAATCCCTTGAAGTAGAAGAGGGGTGACAGGTGAGAAAGTGGTGGAAGAAAGTGAAGAGGGTGGTTGTTGTTATGAAAATGTGCCACTCAGCTATCATGCTACAGACTGCATAGCTTACTAAAGACCCTATCCAGCTCCTGCCCCTCTGTATCCATCACCATGGTCAAGTGGAAGCTAAGCATCCAGTGAGCTGCTCCCAGAGACTTGGCACAGCATGGGTACTAACATTAGCCCATTCCTATGAGATACAGGACTCTTGATAAGCAAATATAGTCCAGCACTCCTTCCATTGGCCTGGCTCAATATTTCTTAGAACCATGCTTCATTCTGAAGCTCTTCTTATCCAATCCTTCTCCCTTCCCCATCACCTTTTCAGGTGTCCAACCTGTGTCATGGTCCAAAGGTTCTCCCCATCTTTTCCTGCTCCTTCTCTTGCCTTCACAGATATTTCTCTTAATAACAGTCTTTCCCAGCTAATCTAAAATTGGTTTCTCAAAAGTTCTAAACTTTACAGAGGATAATTTTAAGAGTGTAAATATTACAATAATGAAGGACAACTATAGAAAATGCAACACCCTTTCTTCTCTGCTGTGAGGCTAATCCCAATGAGCTGATAGTAGGGAAAAAACTACTTGACCAGACAGGTCTAGGACTGATCAATAGACCCACAGCCAATTATTGAGGAAACCCAACTCCTCCAGACAAGGGCCTGCATGACATTCCAAACTCTGCTATTTCTTTCTTGAATAAAAAAATTGTCATTTATTCCTGGAAGCCAAAATTGTTCAACCTCTCAAACATTACCTGAATGCCCCAAGACCATGAGAAAAAACAACAAGTGGATATTTTTCACCAGGCCTCAGAGGGGAATTCCAGTTTGCAGGAGTTGTCATTGAACCTAGACAACAATGGAAGGTTATAGTTAAGGTTTTCTCTGAGTGTTGCTAGTGAATTTAATTCATATCTCATTAGCATAAAATGCAGACCCATCTGATTTATATCTACTTTTTTATGGATGAATAGTAGATTCATTAAAAAGACTGCTACTAGATACCCACCAACCAAAGAGCTGAACTGTAAGTTTTTTTTTTTTTTTTGAGATGGAGTTTTGCTCTTGTTGCCCAGGCTGGAGTGCAATGGCACAATCTCGGCTCACTGCAAACTCTGCCTCCCGGGTTCAAGCGATTCTCCTGCCTCAGCCTCCCGATTAGCTGAGATTACAAGCATGCGCCACCACGCCTGGCTAATTTTATATTTTTAGTAGAGATGGGGTTTCTCCATGTTGGTCAGGCTGGTCGTGAACTCCCGACCTCAGGTGATCCACCTGCCTCAGCCTCCCAAAGTGCTGGGATTACAGGCGTGAGCCACCGCACCCGGCGTAAGTTCTTTCCTCAGACCATAGGATCATTAACGATGAGTTCTTACTGACAGCTCTGGACTTAAGGTGAGAGATTTTCCCACTTATAGGTGTATTCATAAAGGCTGCTACTTACTGCCATTCCCAGGTTTTGGAAAAATTTTAAAGGGAATGTTCTGAAACCAAACTACCCATAAAACCTTGGATACATTACACTAAGAGCCAGAATCTAAGAAACAGAGACTCTGTTCATTATGATTTGGTCATAATCATGCAGGAAAAGGTAGAGAAACCACTGACTTCATACTGAGTCATGGATGCAGCTCTGCCACTTCCTAACTATGGATCTTGGGCAAGTTCCTTAAACTTTCTGTACTTCAGATTCCTCTTCTGTAAACTTCAGAAAATGATATCTCTTTCATAGGGTTTTTGTGAGAATTTTATTTAATTAGGTAATATATGTAAAGCAGTGGTGCAATCCATCACATAGTAAGGGGCTCAAAAAATGGAAATATTGTCTTCTTTCACTTCTCAATTTTTATTGTCACCATTATTATCAGCAATCATTTGTGTTTCATTTTCTCATCTATAAAATGCAGATGCAGTCATAAAGACTGAATGTGATGATTGCTATGGAAGTGATTTATAAATTATTTTGCAACATAAATATGCAGAGTTATGCTATTTTCATGTCTGTTATAAGTGGTTTTTAAGAAAATTAAAAGCCGATGTTTAAGATGAATCCCAAAATTTGTAGATCGTTTTGAGGGGTAAATGTGAAGACACAGTTAACATCAGTCCAACAGTAGTGTCTAGTCAAACAGATAAGGAAGGAAAAGTCTATATTAGCAGAATGTAGACAGTAAGTGAAGAATACACATCAGATTGTCTTAGCGATGGGGGTAGGTGATGGGAATGAGAGTAGAGTCTCTTCATGTATGACAAGAAAGGCATTAGCTTTGACTCCTTTGTTTTGGATCTGGAGAGTTTGATGGCTTCTACTTTCTTTCTCTTTTTGTCTAACTTTAGCACAGAGCATGCGGGATAGTGGCCACACCAAATAACCTGCTATTCTCACCACGGTATTGCCTTCTCCATGGTATGTCAGATGAAAACTAAAGAGCAGCCACAGAAAGATGTCAGAGTCAGTCTGATACTCTCGGCCACTCCCATCCAACTCAGAATGGACAAAATGAGAACCTTGATTCTGTCGTAGTTGCCTGGGCTTTAAAGAAATACTTTCCTTATCATTTTAGGAGCTATTTGGACTGAAGAAAAATCTACTTTGGTCTTAACTACTTGAAGTTCTTGTTGTTTTCAAGGTTTTCATACATGCAAGAGCCTACAAAGAAGGATCAACAGAAATCTTACCAAAGAGTAACCTCAAAATGTTGCCCATAAGCCAGTGTGTTCCAAGAAATTTGCTAAGACCCCAAAAATATTCTTTATTTGGGATCCAAAGGGTGTCAAGGCGATCATTATCTTGGGATGGATAATATAAACGCAAGAAGGTGCCCTGTTAAGAAAGAAATTAATGCACTTTTAGAGAAGTTGTGTCTCAAACATATTCCAGCAGCTATTTTGCATATTTAATTAGTGGGGACTCAAATACCTCTGTGTTCACAAAAAGGTCTAAAGAACTTTTTAGGCTGCTGTGGTGATTGAAGATAGTCATGAAAGAGAAACAGAAAAACAATATTCTATCTCAGTGAAAGGAAAATACAAGCAGCCTGGCTTCAGGTATTAAGGAAGTGAAAAATAAGGTTTATAGAGAAATTAATCAGACAATAACAAAGAATTGAGGAATGGCCAAACTAGTAAAAGCCTTCATATGAAACAATACAAATTGCAAAATGAGTCATTCTCAGGTGAGGGCAAGGTCACATTTGAACACCTTCTAGTGGTCCATAGCGACAGACAATATTAGAGTATCAGGATAAGTTGTATAAATCAAAGCATTACCTTATTAGTGTGATCAAACATTAAGTCTGTACAACCAACGGAATAAGGCCCATTTCCCCGGGGGATTTTAGTTTGGCCAAAGCTTGCAGCAGCCATCAGTACTTGTATTTTGTTGACCCATGCTGAAAAACAGGTAAATATTATCTCATTTGTCATCCATTACATATCAGATTTTATTATGCAAAAGAATTCCAACGGAATCAAGTTACTTCCCATAGTTTCTGGCCTTCTTTCTTTCTCAACCTAACAAGTAAGATATGCAATTATTGAGGGTCTGCTCTGTTTGAAACACTGTGTAGGGGTTTTGGAGGGTAAAGAGATGAAAGTAGACATAGCCTTTCTCTCAAGCTGCCTTGGACTGTTACCTCCTAATGTTTGCAGCCTTGCCCTCTCATTCTACTTCTATCCAGAGTAAATTAAAGATGACTTCACAAATCTGTTTTTCCTAAACATGAACTTTATTTCACATTTCAGATTTGTGCCTATAACTTCTCCTTGAGCATCTCTACCTGATGTCCTTCCCATAAGAATGTCAAAATGAAACTAGTTTCCAAAATGAAACTAAATGATCATCTTTCAACTCTCCCTTCTCACTTTCCAACCACACAGCCTGCAACTCAAGAACTCCTCATCTCCTGCACCACAAGCCAGAAACCTGGGAATCATCCTATTCTCCTACCTCTTTCTCACCAACCACCCTACATTCAACGGAGCCTCTATTTTCTTTCTTTTTTCTTTTTCTTTTTTTTTTTTTTTGAGACAGAGTCTCACCGTGTTGCCAGGCTGGAGTGCAGTGGTGCAATCTTGGCTCACTGCAACCTCCGACTCCCTGGTTCAAGTGATTCTCCTGCCTCAGCCTCCTGAGTAGCTGGGATTACAGGTGTAGGCATGTGCCACCATGCCCAGCTAATTTTTGTATTTTTAGTAGAGACGGGGTTTCACCACGTTGGCCAGAATGGTCTTGATCTCCTGACCTCGTGATCCGCCCACCTCAGCCTCCCAAAGTGCTGGGTTTACAGGCGTGAACCACCACGCCCAGCCCCAAACCTCTATTGCTAACATTAGTTTTTAGCTTAGAATGATCTCCACAATATATCGCTGACCCTCTAGCTCAACTGTCTCATTTATGCCCTCACTGTCTCTTGACCAGACTGTTGCTCTCTCTCCTAACTGTTCTACCCACGTTGGATCTTGACCCCTTCAAATGCATCCTTTACACAGCTCCTGGAGGGATTTAAAGCACAAATCACACCAGACAATTCTTAAAATCCTTCAATGCCTCCCTATCAGCAAGTGTTCTTTCCTTGAAGGAGGAATGTATTGTAATCTTTTTGGAAGGCAGTTTGTAGGAGGAATTTAAATCTACACATGCTTTCCTAAGCCAATACTCTGCTACTTGCAAAAATGTGGCCTATCCTTCCAGTGCTCTGGGGTTGAAACATACTGAGGTTCACAGGTGCACAAGTTAAATCCCAAGTTTCTGGGCACTGCAAAGAAACCCTCCACTGGAGGCCCATTGCCTCATACTCTTCCTCTTCTTCTTCCCCTTAAGTTATACCCCTTCCTTGTGCTACAGTACTCCTGAGCAACACACTGGGCTGGTTGATGCCACTGCACCTTTGTAAATGCTACTGCCTATGCTTAAATCCCCTTAGCAAACTCCCATTCACACTTTAATACCTTGGTCAGATGTCCTGTCTTCTCTGAAACCTTCCCTGATTTCCCAGACAGACTTAATCATTTCATCCTCAATATTACATAGATTCTATGTGCATGTGTGTATACACACATGTAATCATTCTTCCTGTCACATATTAAACTTATGTGTCTGCATGCTACACTAGGCTCTTTCTTCAGAGCCATATCCATGTCTTTGCATCCTCTTAACACAGTGTCTGGCACATAGTCAATGCTCAACAAATACTTGTGAAAATAAGCTCAGTTAACTTGAATGGCCACTGGTCTCTCTTGTTTTCCTTTAAACCCTTTATCACATGCAGTATTTTACTCATCCACTCCTAAAACTACTTTTCTCTCTCTGGTGCAATCTTCCACACACCAGCAGCTTCATCCGTTCTCCTTTCTAAACCTCAATCAAATCCATATTTAATTACAAAATATCAGTGTATTCAGACTCTCACTTTTCTTGACATATTCAGCTTGTCCACCCATTCCTTCCATTGGATGGTGGGAGTTGATTACTCTCTGCTAGCCAGCTATCAAGAGCTATGTTAGATAAAGCGTCTGCATCAATACCATGGAACATTGCCCAGAAAAGTTTTGAGTCATGGGAAGAAACCAATTTACAGCCTCCACACTGGTGACTCATGTGTGAAACACCTGCCCATGATGAAGCCTTTCAATACATAAGGCTCAGCTACTCAAAGCTGATCCATGGACCAGCATCACTGGCACCAGCTGGAGCTTGGAAATGCAGGCTCCTGGACTTCACCACAATTCCACTCAATCAGAAAAGGAGTGCCCATTAAAGTTTAAGAGACACTGGGCTGAAGTTCCAGACCACCTGCCTGACACACAGGTCAGCAATCCATGGTCAAATGGTAGGAGGTAGTTTCAAGAAAGGCAAGGGGAGAGGGGATGGAGATGAACAAACCCTGTGAATTGGAGGGACATGGTTCTATTTCAGATTTCAGGTGTACCTCTTACAAGCTATAATCCTCTGGCCTAGTTGCTCCCCTCTCTGATCCACATTCGTAAAATGACATAAAAGCACTTGACCAGCCCACAGTACAGTTGTAAAGATGAGGTGAGAATGTAGGTCAAGTTCTTAGTACAAAACATGACACATAAGGGGTAGACAAATAATGCTGTTTACTCCTTCCCCAGAGTCCATTTACTCTTGCTAGGTAAATCTGTGCTGAGTCCTTAGGGAAGTTTTAGCAGGTCTAACCTCTCCCCAGGTAGATTCAAACCCCAGAAACTTTTTTTTTAAACTTTACCTGCAAGGTGAACTTTCAGGGTCTATTTTGAATTACAAAAGGCTCTTCTTCCATTAAAAGAGTATCTACTGAGCCATGCTTCTGGTGTAACAGGGAGATGTGAAGTCCCAAGGAGGAGGACCTTAAGGTAGGGACACCTGCTTCTTCTTCTGTGGTAAGCAGCCTGGTGCTACTGCAACCCCACCCCTAGGCAGGCATGGTGTGCCTGTGCAGGGCTTGCTGCAGGGAGACCTCTGGCTCACACAACTCGCTAAGGAGCCCCAGGGCCACAGCTGCTGTTGGAGACACTACCTCTAGAATTGGAGGCTCAGTTCTGGAGGCATGGGAGGGTTTCACCCAACACAAGCCTCCGCTTGTGAGATCTCAATTCCAAAGGACAGGGGAACATTTTCCAATAAGTTAGGAGTGCCCTGGTTGTCCAACACCTGTTCTCCCTGGGAAGTTTCCTCACTCAGCATTCAGGAGCATTCAGGTCAAGGTGAGGTCTGCCTGTTCCAGGACACCTGACCTCTGAGAAGACCTCAGGAATCATCAGGCTGATCCAGGTTTTGGTATAGGTCTATGGGGTCCTATGCACCAGTGCCAGGGTGCCTGGGGGTGGCTGTGGAACAGGCTCCATAGCCTACAGCTGACCCGGTTATGGGCCTGGATTTCCCATTCTCTAACCATCTGTCAGGAGTCATCATTAAGGAAGTGGAAGGAGGAGACTCATCAGATCAAATGACCACTCACACAGTTTTGTGGTTCAGAATTTATAAATGTCTCTTCTTAGTTTTCTTCAACTTTATTTTAATAGGAGGATTGGAACCTATGGCATGCTATTAATTTTATTACATATTTTTGGTGGTTTTCATTTGTCAAATATTCCTGATGTTCAGTCTTGGGTTTGGAGATGAACTGTATACATGCTAGGACAATTACACTCTTATATGGCTTTATGTCCTCCATTAGTAAAGAGGATATCTCTAGCCCATTCCTACAAACCTTTTAACCTGCATAGCCATATTTTCTGTGTATTCATTTAGTAAGAAATTATAAAGAATCACCTATTATTTTAATCTTATTTAATAAACTGTTTCTAATACTTTAAACCAATATATATGCATTCTTTTTTTGTTTGTTTTGAGACAGAGTCTCGCTCTGTAGCCCAGGCTGGAGTGCAGTGGTGCAATCTCAGCTTACTGCAACCTCCTTCTTCTGGGTTCAAGCAATTCTCCTGCCTCAGTCTCCCAAGTAGCTAGGACTACAGGTGTGCACCACCACACCCAGCTAATTTTATGTATTTTTTTTTTTAATATAGACGGGGTTTCACCATGTTGGCCAGGCTGGTCTCGAACTCCTGACCTCAAGTGATCCACCCACCTCGGCCTCCCAAAGTGCTCAGATTACAGGCACGAGCCACCATGCCCGGCCTGCATTCATTTTTGAACATTTAGAATGGGCATTGCATTGGGCTCAATGCTGGGACTATAAAGATAAAGCAACGTCCCTGTCCTCAAGTTTCTGTCAGTCCAGCAACAGCCTTCCAATTATTTTTAAAGACAAAGGGATTTTAAAAATGTTTAAATTTTTACCCTGTACCAATTAAAAGTGAAGGATATAAATGTTTCCCGAATGATGATTTTCCCACCATCTAAGATATTACCTGTTCTCAATCCATGAAAAAGGTAGTAGGAAAAATGAACTTAATGTCATCTAGGATGCAGGACCCTTGAATTTGACTACACATTTATTGTCTTAGTCACCAGTGTATCCTTGATGACTTAACTTCCTGATGCGTTATAGGATGAATGGACCTGTGAGATATTATTCTATTTCCTATGCAAATGTAGATATAAGATATAAAACCTCTCCTAATGCATTCATTTTCCTGCTTATGTAGTAGGGCAAAATTTAAGGTACTGAATTATGAAAGCTCTTTTGCAAATGCTATCGTAAGGAGTCACCCATCAAGCTTGAACAATTAGATCCAGAGTGACCCACAACTATCCAGGTGCACAGCTCTGTAGGTATAGTCAGTATGACACCATTCAGAAGCCACCTACACTGCTCTCCATAGGAGACTGGAAAGAGAAGTTTATGCATCACAATCCTCTGGGATGAGCAGGAATTTGCAAAGCTCCAGAAACAATCTTTTTCCAATTAAGGTCTCTCTTAGTGACATTAAATGTAGCCGTCTAAAGATGGCTGTCCCGTTTTGGCCACTCCTCCTGGGTTAGTCTATGCCTTCCACCTCTTTCTTTCCCCACTTACCACAAGGCAAGAAAGAATGAGTGATCACATCCATTCTCATCTGGAACTCCCTAGCACCTACTTGTCCCTACTTCTCTCTATTATCAGGTAGGAAAGATTGTTTCCTTTTGGATCCCAAGACCTGAAATTGTTATCTCACATGACTTTCCACTATTAACCAGGAGTATGCCTGTTGAACAAGACACCTGCTTCTTTTTCACCTCATGGAAGCAGGTTTTGAGGCTGTCTTGGAGTGGACTCCAGACCAGTTGCATTACTATGCTTGTGTGGGCATGCGTTAGGGCAGTCAGAGAGAGAAGGGGTGGCATTAAGGAGGTTCTCCGTGGTGATTGCAAGCTGAGCGTCCAGTATATCTTAAAATGTCCCATCCTGGTTCTGTCCTGCAGTCCTGATACTGAAGAACACAAGTGCTTCTTCAATTTCAGTTGAAATGAGGAAAAAGTGAGAACCTCTCCCCTACTCCAGGAGAATACAGGATCTCCATAAGCCTTTAAATAGGACTTGTTTAGATGTGCAGATGTGCAACTTCTTGGGGCCCACTTGAAGTATGGCGACAGATCAGTTGCTCAAGACCTTGAACAAATACACCTCTTACCTGATGATTTCATATGGGCAACAGGATTTATGTATTGCCAGTCAAAAGGATAAACCACAGCCAGGCAGCCGCAGAGGCAGAAAAGCACATGCAATTTGGGTGGCACCATCTTGGGAGCTGAGCAGCAGTTTCAGCTTAGTCTCCTTCGAAGCAGATGATTAAAAGAAAAAAGAAGTATGCAATGAAGAGGCCTTAAATAAGCTGACAAATCAAGAAAGGCTGAGGTACTAGTAACACTTGGAAAAAATAAAACATGTATTTTCTGTGCTGGGTTTTAGATTGGTACTACAATGGTAAAATCCTTGGTAATGTAGGATTACCATTACCTACATTACTAAGGATTACATTGGATTGTAGAGCAGAGAAATAATACTTTCAGACAGTTAGATTAAGTTTTTGGTCACTAGTTTTCTAACTTTATAACAGTATGGTCAGCTATAAAAATAGCCAACAAAATATAACAAATATAACAACCATCTGTCATCATCATAATAATATCCATAGGTATGTCTAGCACATAGTAAATAATTCATAAATTTTGGCTATTTCCATCATTTAATTATATAGTGACTATATTTCTGCTGCTGTGGTTGTTTTGGGTGTTAATATGATGTTATATTCTTGCTAATTTCTATAATCCTACTATGATATAAGTTTCCAAAAAGCAGAAGTCAGGTCTTATTTGTTGTCTCAGTGCCTAATAGAGGGCCTGGAAGAAGTAGTATTGCATAGATGCTTGTTGAATCAGTAAATGAAACAAGAGAATATGAGATGTGTGGTAATAATAAATTATAATTAGTCTGTATGCTAACATCTTATTAGCAAAAACTATCTTGCATTTGTGCATCCATTTTCCCCCCTAAAATTTGGCCCTTCAACTTTTGTGGGGGATAGAAAAGGTCCAAGCCACCATCATCTCTTACCTAAAATTTGCCATCACCTCTAACGAGTCTCCCTGCTTTTGCCCTTGACCCTAAAATCTATCCCCAACACAGCAGCCAGAGTGATTGTGTCACCCTTCTGCACAAAACCCCCAAATGGTGTTATATGTTACGGGGGAGAAGCCATTCACCCAAAATAGCTTATAATGATCTACATAACCTTTACTCAACACACTCCCAATCCTTCCCCTAGCCCCTCTTGGACACCTGCTGCAATCACACTTGCTTCTTTGCCATTCACCAAACATGCCAAGTACTCCACACCCACCTTCCATCCCCACTTTGAGGGCTTTGAATGTGTTCCCTTTTATGGGAATGCTCTTTGCTCTGACACCCAAATGACTGGTCCTCTCACCTCCGGGTTTTTGCTCCAGTGATACTTTCTCAGTGACACTTTCCCGGTTCAATCTATTTAAAATTGCAATCTAACCTCCTTCTTCACACCAATACATTCCCTATTTCCCTCCCTACTTTATTTTTCTCCAATATTTATCACCAACTAACGTACCTTGTATGTTATTTGTTAGTTGTTTATCACCTTCCACTAAAAACTTAGTTCTGTGAGTGTAAGGATTTTTGATGGTTTTTCCCCCTGCTGTATTCCCAAGACCTAGAATAGTGCCTGGTGTACAGAGGCACTCAGTAAATGCCTGCTGAGTGAATAAATCTAGCACATCTGGTTACTAATACAAACCGAGCCAAGTTTAATGATCCGGTGTCCCACTGACACTAATGAAGCACTCGTTAGTATAGCTATTTTGCGGGAAGATGTAATATAGATGTGTGGCACAGACAATGAGTGCTCCTGAACATCTATGTGCTTCCCTACATTTCTTAGCCGCCCCTGTGGTTGGGCTGGGCCCATGGGGCTAATTCCTGAGAAACAAAAATTTGAACAGAAGTCGTCTGCAACAGAGTCACTGTATCTCCTTCATGCCTTCCTTTCCCTGACACAGCAAACTTAGAAATCATGTGCTGATGTAGTGCAGTCTTGAAGTGAAAGACGCCTGGATACCTAGTCACTGAACAGAGAAGAGCCCCTGCCAATTCAAATGACCTTTCACAAATGGGAAATAAACCTTTGCTGTGTTAAGCCACTGAAATTTCCAGGTGAAGCTGTTATTGCCTTAATGGAGCACAGCATGGCCTATCCTGATTATCAGATCTGCAGTCATTCAATCAAAGGGTATTTCTTAAGCAAATACTATATGCCCTCTCCTATGGCAACAACTGTGGTAAGTACCAGAGAATTTGACACAATCCCTACTCTCAGAGAGTTTACAATTGTGTTTCAGAGACAAGACTAGCATATATTAACAATATAATACAGGAAGAAAGCAAATTACAGGGGCATTTTATAATTCTTAGATGATATGGTACAAGTTCTGAGAGCAACAGGAATGTAGACAGAAAGATTTCAAAGAGATGGGGCTTTCGTGTAAGGGCAGCTCCTATTGTACAGGCTAGAAAGACCCAGATAGGCAGCTGGTAAATGTGTTGCTGGAGCTCTAAATTTTTTTTTTTCTTTGACAGAGTTTTACTCTGTCACCCAGGCTGGAATGCAGTAGTGTGATCTCGGCTCATTGCAACCTCTGCCTCCTGGGTTCAGGCAATTCTCCTGCCTCAGCCTCTCGAGTAGCTGGGACTATAGGTGCCCACCTCCATGCCCGGCTAATTTTTGTATTTTTAGTAGAGATGGGGTTTCACCATGTTGGCCAGGATGGTCTTGATCTCCTGACCTCATGATCTGCCCACCTTGGCCTCCCAAAGTGCTGGGATTACAGTCATCAGCCGCCGTGTCCAGCCAAAACTTCTTAAACTACTTGCAGAGGGACTGTATTTCCTTATTCAACATCTTTCTTTTGATCAGAAAAAAAAGGTATATATGTGCAACTCTTTAAGATTATTTATAATTTTGGTTGATTTTATTTGATCTTATTTCAGTATTACATTTAATTATATTATAAAGTTAATACATGATTTCAAAAATCCAAACATAACAGAAAAAGGTAAATTGAGTTATCTCTTCGCAAATAATGACTTGCTAACAGATTTTTTTCCAGAGGCATTTCTAGGCTCGAATACATGCACACTGAAGGGGCCAAGGGGGCCACGGGTGGCATTCCCCTTGGACCTCTGAAGGGTCACTGAAAAATCAACTTGTAAAAGGCAGATTATTTATTTAATGTGTATTCACAAGGAGCCTTCAGAATGAAGACCCAAAGATACAGGGGAAACTGTCTATTTTTATGCATAGGTTCAACAAAGTATGAACAGCTGTGTAGAAATATGACTGGACAGTAAGGGTAAGCTCTAATGCTAATAGACTCAGAGGGGCAACCCAGCAAGCCCTGTCTATTCAGATTCTTCTTGGTCTGTCTGTGCAGCATTCCTTTTTCCAAGGTAAGAGGACCCTTCCCTGAATAAGGGTCTTATAACCTACAATCAGATTAGAGTCCTGCCTTGGGCAGGTGAAAGGAAGGCAGGAAAAGGTCAGAGAGAAAGATTCTGCTTTCTGAGACCTGCTTCTGGGGTCTAAAGCACTCCAATATTATAACCAAAGACTGTAGCAAGGGCAACGGGAGTTATGAGCCAGGAACCATATTAACATGTAATAATCACAATGACCACAGAGGCTTCTGAATATGAACACACAGGAATAATTCATAAGAAGTCTTTTAACTTTTAAAGTTCTCTTTACACAGATAAGTGCCTTTTTCTCAACCATGGGATATGAGTTAGCTAGAAATGTATTTATATTTAAGAACTAGGACCCTGAAAAACTTAATGGTAACTTTAGACATTCTCTTAGAACTAGAGAATCCAACAGGACTACACTAAAACCCTTGATACAGCCGTCTTCATCATCATATTGTATGAAAATCTATTACCATAACCCCAATCACTGGTCAATACAAAAACACAAACTTTTTTTTTTTGGAG